>NC_000012.12:69581340-69732855 GCF_000001405.40 Homo sapiens | reverse complement strand
ATCTCAAAAAAGAAAGAAAGAGAAGGAAAGAAAGAAAAAGAAAGAAGGAAGGAAGGAAAAAGAAGGAGGGAGGGAGGAGAAAAAGAAAAGAAAAGGAAAGAAAAGGTTTTCTGTATGATTGGGAATGTTCACAGTAATGCCATGAAAACTCTGAAAATAATTAGAGTCATAGATTATTGGAGTTAGAAGAGACCTTTAAGTCATCTCCCCTCAACATCTATTTTCACAAATGAGAAAGCTGAGACCCCCAAAGAGGAAGTGATTTATCCAAGGTCACAGAGCTAAAATGTCCCAAAGCTGAGTCTTGAACCCAGGTCTTTGCAATACTAGTCTATATATTTCCATTGTATCATCCTGAACTTCAAAACAGGACATCTAAAAAATGTTGTTGAGTACATTTGAGATACATATAACACAAATACAGACAACTTCCCATGAAGCAACTATTTTGAAAAGACAGTATTTATTTTGAAAGCATGGGAGTGGCAGCAATGTTCACCATATTCTTGTGAGGATAGATGGTCTTCTGCATAGTGTTGCTGTGACTCATGCCATTGTACATTAAGTGAAACCAACCATGCTGTGTTAACCACTAATAACTGGACCTGGTTAGATACCTGAGCCAAAAGCAACCCTGTGTGGCTAGATTGAAGATGAGAGAGGCCAAACTTTAGAAGTGGCATGAAGCTCTCCCCAGTAGGGATCCTCTATTCCTTCGAGGGAAATCAACCCAGTCAGTCCCCCTCCCTTTGCAAATATGAATGCTAAGTATGCACACAGAGGGTGGTCATTCAAGTTCAACTGGTAACCCAAATCAAGATAAACTATTCTTCATTAGGCTTACTACATCCTCATTATAGAAATACTGGGGTCCACATATCCTGTAATACCTAATCTCTATATTTTTGCAATAATTATGCATGAATTCCTTTACTTATTGAGTGTCCTTTACATGCCAGATACTTTTCAGCTACTTGGAAAGTGATAGAGAATAAAATAATGTCCCTGCTTTAATAGCTTTTGCATTCTAATGGAAGAGACAGTCAATACAGACATAAATATATAACATAATGTCAAGTAATAATATGTGCTATGAAGAAAAATAAAGCAGGACTCATTACTTCATGAGAACTTTATCACATAGCCAAACATGGCTATAAGGGAAGACAGAAAATTTGGTCTGTATGTCAGCAGTCATCTGCTCAGGAAGAAAGAACTAGCAGTCTGCCACAAAAAAAAAAAAAATTAAAAAATAATAAAAATTAAAATGAAAAAAGTACGAGTAGAAACAGGGAAGAAGTTACACTTTGATGTATCTAACACATCCACAAATTAACGAACAATTCATCTTTTGTTTAAATTAACCTTAAGGTAGTATTTGCCTGATTATTCACATAAACACATAGATAATTTGTATTTCTTGGGTTACTTTGGGGGAGTCTTGTCTCTCAGTGTTTGCCCAATTTTGATGCTGTCATTCATCAGTTATTTATTGTGTGTCATTAGTGGGCTAGGTAATATTCAATTAAACAGATGACAGAATATTTCCGAGATAGAAAAAGTTTCTGTATTCTCCAAGGAAAATATTCTTGCCTCAGTACCCCCACTATTGCTGCATATTTTATCTCAGCCAGTGGTTTTTTATTTTTTAAAGTGACAGATAAAATTGTATGTATTTACTGTGTACCCTCAGCCAGTCTTATTTATAAAAACAATATCTACTCTATTTCCTATACTAAGCGTTCTCACATAAATACCCATGCCCTTGTAAGTCATTCAGTTAATTATTGAGTGGCTACTAGGTACAATATCCAGCTGGTGAACCACTAGCATCAGAATCACCTGAGATACTTAGTTAACTCAGGCTTTATGAATCAGAAACTTTAAGAATTGGGCCCTATCTGAAATTTTTCAACAAACTTTAGAAGCAATTTTTATGACACTTTAGGAATCAACAGTAAAGAATGCATGGTACGAAGTAAAGCAGAAAATTCTCCAAACTACAATCTAGTTGGGTTAACATAATATATACATAAAACAGTGATTTTAAAAATGTATCCAGAGAGTAAAGATAGCATCCTCTATTCTTCCACCTCCCAGAAATCACTCAGTAACAAGGATAATGACAATAATACAAAATTCATTTTCATTGAAAACAGTAGATACCTGAAACCCTGAACTACAATATATGTGAAATACAGTGAATGGCAGAAATACTTTGATAAAAGATGTAAATGCCTACCGACTGCAGAAGACAACATCAACAAAGCACACTTCACAAAAGTAAGTGACTTATCTTAGAGACAAAACCAACAATCTTTCATTTGAAATAAAGGAATCAAGTATGTGGACAGGCAGCAGTGTCTTCCCTCAACCTGGTTTATCATAAAAGAGAAGGTGGTAGGGCGCCATTGGAAGAAGAATCATTCAGACATACCACATATGCAGGAAGCATTGTGTTTGTGAGGCAAAATGGAAAAAATATATATAGACTGTGATGTGAGCAGCCCTGTGATTGCCAATTTCTCTTAGTTAAAAGTAGAAGCTAAAGGAACTCATCTACACAACCTCTGTATTATAAGCAGAATTCCTATTAGGCTGAAACATGGTCCAGGCCTCTCAGCACAAACCTTCTGCAAGCAGCATTTCTTGGAAAACCTCTCCTCCAAACATGAGCAATCAATCAAAAAGTAATCAGTCATCCAGGCACGGTGGTGCAGGCCTGTAGTTCCAGCTACTTGGGAGGCTGAGGTTGGGGATCTCTTGAGCCCAGGAGTTCGAGGCTAGCTTGGGCAACATAGTAAGATTCTCTCTAAAATATTTTTTTTAATTTTAAAAGTGCGTATATAAAAACTATACACATTTTACAAAAATATATGCAAACAAAAAGATACATATTTGATGCATTTGTATGATTGCTTATCCAGGGGAGGATAGGAATAAGAATAAAAAGGAAACCACAAATAAATAAAACTAGCCTTCCATGAATCAATTATGATAATGTGGCATGAACTAATAAGTATGACTAACTCAACTTTCTTAAGTCCTTTCACTTGAAAATTTTTTTAAAAGCAGCAGAACCACAAAAGGAACTTAAATACGAATTGAAAAAGGGAGAGGAAAAAAATAACTATTTAAAAAATGAAGACAAAATTAACACAAACTTGGAATAAACACTTGTTAAGGGGGGAAAAAAAGGCAAAATAAAAAATGTTTTAAGAATCACAAAATACCAGATTGAGAAAAGCAAGTTAAATGAAGTGAAAATGAAAAAAAGGGATTAGAGAGAAAATTATGTAAATGGAAAGAAACAAAAGAAATCCAATATGTATATAATCTAACAAAAGAATCTAGAAGTTGGAACAGGAAAAAAAAAAAGCAGATAAATATTTTGAGACACTTTCCAGAAATAAAAGACCTAAATCTATAGATTGAAAGAGCATATCATATCCCAAATTAAAAAATGTCAAGAATAATCAAAGCAAGACCTAGTCTAGCATAGCTACTGGATTTCAAAGATAATGAAAGGATCTTTCATGCATCCAGAGCAAAATGATCAAGACATCTATAAGGGGGAAAAAATTAAAATGTAATTCTAAAGGTTTCATACCCAAGGATTTCATACCAGAGAAACTTATTCAAATAAAAATATAATGAACACTTTTGAACATGCAAGCAATATGGTTTTAATATTGCCCTTTTTTATAGGATATTCATAGAGAATGAATTTCAACCACCAAAGAGACGAATTTAGAAATATGGGCAGTGAGAGGAGACTGGTAGCAATCATTAAATCCATTATCTATAGAAGTAAGTCTAAAATAACGTTGAGAATTATGGTCATAGAACAGAGAGTAACCGTTGTAAGTCTTGACAATATCACAATGAAACAACCAACAAAAGCTGAAAGAGAAAAGAAATAAGGTAAACATAACAAAAATAATATAATTAGAGGGTAAAGAGGTGAGGAACAGGAAATACACTGTTCAATGCTTTCAATAATATATAAAAAGTAGTTTCAAAGTTATTAAGATGACCACTGGAACAAAAATGCAAACCTTTCAAGTTCAAAACACATGCATACACAAAGAATATATATACAGGCCATATAGTGAAAAATAAATGAGCACTACAAACAAAACCTAACAAAAAAACAAAAGATAGGTAAAGTAAGATAAAAGATGACATGACCTTCTTTTCAATGAGCACTGAAAATTTTCAATTAATTTTCTCAACTGGGATATCAGGGCAAATCTCAACCTTGTGCTATATACATAAGATACAGTGAAAACAAAATGATTTAGAAAGGTGGAAAATAAAAAGATAGGTGAAGGCATACCAAGCAAATTAAAACCAAGATCAAGATTTTATCTCCAAGTTAAATTCAAGAAAAAAGTATTAAATAAGACAAAGATAGGCACTTTATAAAACATGAGATGCAAAATTAAGATTTCATGCTTATGAATATCAATGTACCAAATAACATAAAATTGAAATTTATAAAGGAAAACTACATCAAATTCAAAGAGAAATCCACAGAAAACATGACTAGTTAATTTATCTCATCCAGAACAGATCAAGTTGTCAAAAATTAAGTAGGATATAGAAGGCCTAAATAACATAATTAGCAAGGTAGATTGTATATGTACATTTATATATTTATAAGTTTATATAAATATGTGAGCGAGAATAATACATTTTCTTTTCATGTACCATAGACTAGTCACAAACATTGATTAAGTATCTAAAGGTGCTTCAGATAGGCCTAAAAATTTTGTCTCTAATGGACAAGGGAAATGCTCCTTTATTCTCAGCCCCCTTTATTATTTTTTATTTTTTAAATTCAGCTCTTTTTTTTAAATTTAAATGAGCACAAATGAAGAAAAAGAGTGAAATAAGATTGTACACACTCATTTCCAATTTTAACAATTATCAATGAAGTACCAATCTGCTTCATCTATATCTCCAACAACTTCTTGCCATCCTGCATTATTTTATATTTAGTTTCTTTATTAACTTTATTAAGGTATAATTTACATACCATAAAATTCACTCATTATAAGTATATGAATCAATAATTGTTAGCAAATGTTTAGAGTTGTGCAACCACACTACATTCCAGTTTAAGAACATTTCCATTATCCCCAAAAGATCCTTCATGTCCATTTGCAATAATTTTACTCTTAACCCAGTTCTAGGCAACCACTGATCTGTTTTCTGTCTATATATTTGTCTTTTCTCTCAACTCCTTTTAACTACAGCTAGCTTCTCTTTTGTTTCATTTGCATATTGAACTTCCAGCTTGGAAAAAAAAAAGTTTGAAAACCATTATGACACACACTTACTTAAGAAACAATGTAAAAATATTTTTTATTTTAAATTTAAGATGTACATCCCATGTGCAAAATATATGGAATGGAATGCTCCAAAGCAGCAGTATCCAGTATGTGATCTAACTGATCCTGGTTAGGTAGAACACAGAAGCTTTGCAAAGACTATCTCAAAAAGGAATTTGAGAAGTTTGGTCTAAACATGGATGTTTATTGTATGTGGGGTATCTACAGTGAAAGAGGAGAGAAATGCTTTAATACTAATTTAAGCGTTAAAGTGGTCTGATGCTCCTTGCATCATTCATCGGGTGTGTTTTTCATTTGAGCTTTGCAAGAAAGCTTTTCCTGGTCTAAGAATAGAAATTATCATGGTTGTCAACATTCTTCATGCCTGTACTCCTAACCGTCATCAGTTTGGGCAAAGACAAAACAGCGTATGCAGTCTGGGTTTATTTGAATGCAGTCAGAAGTGTAGGTTATGGGTACTTGTTAAAGAGATGTTTTGAGGTCAAGAACTTTGGGGAATTAAAGAGCTCTCACTGGCCCAACTTATTCAACATTCAGGGGCCCAAGAGATTGTGCTTTCTTGTTCTGATGAAACATCTGAATATACTGAACTTGAAATCACAGGGGAAAGGAAGGGCTTTTGTTTCAGAAAGTAAAAATCTCAGGCATAAACCAGGCATATGAGTTGAGCTCAGGTCAACCGCCTTGAGCTTAATGGAATTACAGATTTTGAGGAGTTGCTGTACTATTTTGGTAGAAATAAAGTCCGAATTTTAGAAGACATATTCTGATGAACATGAATCATACTTTAAGTTTCTGCAGCTGCTTTTGGTGTGCAAACCCCAAGATGTGTTTGAATTACCAAGTGTCTCCCCTATCTGTGCAGCTTGATTGCAAGAGGAATTTAATTTCACAGACCTGAAAGGGAAACATGCTATCAAAAAAGACAAAATTTAATTAGAATTTGAGTAGTGGTATATGAATCACAAAATTATCCTAAATTTTATTCTTCCATGAAACTACTGAAATCCAGACTGATAGCAATCATACTATCAGAAACAAAAATTTGGAGTAGAAATTCAGCTATATGCTACCTGAATACAGTCTAGACGGTTCAAGAATTGTTTAGTCACATGTATAACTGGATTATCATTGACATAATCAAAATTAATTAACAAGTTTCTGAATCAGGTAAGTAAGTATCTTTCAGGACCAAAAATACTCTGACATCATCCCTGTGTGAAATTATTCTTGCCAGACAAGCAGGCACTTTTGGCCACAAGAAATGGGCATCTGTCCCCAATTCAATGCTAGCAATGCCAACTTAGGGCCCAGATGATTCAGGTAATTGTAGAACCTGACCTTGAGGCAAAGAGTTGGAAACAGTGTTAGAAATACCTGAATATTGCTTAGCCTGATATTTTATAAGAAGTAAATGAACAGCACATACTCCTAATTGGTCTGTCTCTTGGGGTCCTGAAATTTCCAGCGTATTGCAATTATGAGGCTTTTTTTTTTTTTTTTTTTTTTTTTTGAGATGGAGTCTCGCTCTGTCACCCAGGCTGGAGTGCAGTAGTGCAATCTCAGCTCACTGCAACCTCTGCCTCCTAGGTTCAAGCAATTCTCATGCCTCAGCCTCCTGAGTAGCTGGGATTACAGACACCTGCCACCACGCCCAGCTAATATTTTGTATTTTTAGTAGAGACCGGGTTTCACCATGTTGGACTAGGCTGGTCTCAAACTCCTGACCTCAGGTCATCTGCCCACCTCAGCCTCCCAAAGTGCTAGGATTACAGACCCGAGCCACCACTCCCAGCCCAATTATTAGGCTTTGAGTAACATCTAGCCAAGAGATATGAGTCATACCTAGTTTTGGTAGGCTATATATGCATTTTTATTAACAGAGTTGATTAGGAGAGAAATCAGGCCACATGCTTATAGATTTCTAATTATTCCTAAAATGTGAACATTACTATTCTAAAGAGTTAGAGAAGACTTCTGGCATGAACATGAGTGGGTATATTTGTATTTTCACTTTTCTATCTTTGAAAATCATTCTGGATACAAAAGGATAAAAACACAAACCCCACCTTCCAAAATCTGCAAGTCCATTTTTTTTTTCTTTTGCAGAGTACAACACAAATATACTGCCCAGGTTCTAAAACATGTATAAGAGTTAACAAAATCAGCTGAGGTTGAGCAGAAATTGTATAGGAAAAAATAGGAAAAACACAGAGACCAATCTCAGCTGCAAGAAGGTTCAGCTAGACACTGCAAGCAAAAGTATAACTCCTGAAGGTAAGAGACATATCCTGAGTTACAGAAACATTATCCTTGTTTACAAAAGTGGATGTGGGAACCGGGGCAAACCATGCTAGCAACAAAAGTCCCCTGTACCCAGTTTGATTCAAAAAGACAGTGCAAGTGAGACTACACAAAGAATCACACAGATAAGCCATATTCACAGGAAGCAGTCTGTTCATGTGGCAGCAGAGAAGTGAGTCTGCACTTAGTCAAAAACAGCTTCTTCCTAACCTTGCTCCCATACATACCAGAACTCTTGCAAATAGTTGGTCCAGGAAGACCCAGTTGACTCAATGATAATAAATAGGAAAGGGAAAGGAAGTAGCACATCACCAATACAAAGAAACAATAACAAAATTTTAGAAAAAGGAGCAAAATCTAACAGATGAAGAATGCTTTACAAGTGAAATGGTAGCTTTGGCAGATGAAATTTTTAGAAATAACTTTCCTTGAATTAGAGAAAAGAGTGAGACCATAACCCCAATAAAAATACAATTATAAAACATAAACATAGGAATTTGAGGAAGATTTAGAGAGATAGGAGGTGATAAAATGCAACGGAAGAATTCAGAAAAGAAGTAGTAGAAAAAACAAAACCATCACAGAAATAAAGACAAAATTAGAAGGGAAGTGAGAAAGAAAAGAAACATAAGGGAAGATAATAAGAAATATAGAGAAAAGAGAAAAAAAGCAAAATGAAATGAAAAATAGAAAGGATTAGACACAAAATAATATATACAGGAAACAGGCAAAGGAGGTTTTTTAAAAAAAACTTACAACTAGTGCCCCCAAGGAAAAGATCCAAAATAATGGAACAAACAAATACTTAAAGATATGATTGAAGAAAACTTTTCTCAAAAAAAAAAAGTACACCTATTTATTGAAAGGATATAGTATATGCCAGGGACATTTTACCTGACATAATTACTGACTACAATGAAAAGGAAATAATCCTTTGGAGAGGTTACAGATAATCAATCAAATCCTTTGTAGAGGTTGCAGATAATCAAACCACTTATAAAGGGAAGTGCCAGGCTGTCCTTAAATCTCTACACAAGAACATCTGTTCCAAGAAGACATTAGAGCAATGTATACAAGATACTCAAGTAGAAAAAGTGGACACAAAGTCTCTATGTCTAGCCAAACTGTCTTTCAAGTATAAAAACTACAAAGAGTTTAAAATATGCAAAAATTCGGCTAGCATTGTTTCTATTAGACCTTCTTAGGAAAACTACTAAAGATGAACTTTAGGTAACAAAAGATAATGGGCACAAGGCCAGTAAAAGGACTGCTTGTGAACATTGTATCATTAACGAATGATGTCTTTCCTTTGTGCCCTCCTGGAATTCATCCATCACCAGCCAAATCCCCTATATCCTTAGCCTCTTCTCTGAACATTTCATTCACCCTCTTGCTCTAGAAAACCAGCTCTCTCCTGAGGATATGCTTCCCCTGAAGCCATCTTACATAGTGGCTGCTTTTTTTCTTCCACTGTCCTTATATATCTGGGCCTACATTTGGGGAAGGCCACCTCTTTGCTCCTCGTTGCCACTTTCAGACTTTTCTCACTTGCCTCCCTAAAATTCTCCCAAGTTAAATCGCATGTTATCAGATTAACTCACCCAAAAATGTTCATTTTTGCTGTCATCTATTGACACCTGGGTCAGTCTTTTTCATTTCTCAATGCTATTAGCTCCAGTCCGATAATATCTCTCTTTAGTCTTAATTCTTAGAGATTTCAACAACTAAGGTAGGTGATCCTTCCAACACCATAGTTTGTCAGTTTTTTTTTAACTTCTTTGCTCAAATAACCTTGTTCTCCACCATACCTCAGTCACTCACCCTATGGTCATGCTCTAGATTGTGTCATTATCAATAACTTAGTTATCTTAGTTTCATCATTCTATTCCCAGACATCTCGCTTTCTGTCTTTCCAATTTACTCCCTTTGATGCCCCGTGATGGTTAATACTGTTAACTTGATTGGATTGAAGGATACAAAGTATTGACCCTGGGTGTGTCTGTGAGGGTTTTGCCAAAGGAGATTAACATTTGAGTCAGTGGACTCGGCAAGGCAGACTCACCCTTAATCTGGGTGGGCACCATCTAATCAGCTGCCAGCAAGACCAGAATATACGCAGACAGAAAAATGTGAAAAGAGAGACTGGCCTAGCCTCCCAGCCTACATCTTTCTCCCATGCTGGATGCTTCCTGTCCTCAAACATCAGAGTCCAGGTTCTTCAGTTTTGGAACTTGGACTGGCTCTCCTTGCTCCTCAGCCTGCAGATGGCCTATTGTGGGACCTTGTGATTGTGTGAGTTAATACTCAATAAACTCCCCTTTATCTATAAATATATATATATATATTTATATATATAGTCCATTAGTTCTGTCATATATATATAAATTAAAAAATGTATTTAAGGAAGGGAGCAGTTACTTGAGCCAGGAAACAAAGAAGTATATGGAGAGGGTTGCCTGATAGGAGCTGTCACCTTCAGCCAGAAGGTGCAGCCAGCCTGTGGTGGTGACACAGCAAGGGAGGAACCTTGGAAATAAATACTCAACCTCCCTCTTATCACTCTCTCTTGTTTTTTGCCATTGACTCAGAAACTGAATAATAGTTATTAAATTACCTTTTTTAGGTCACTTTGAGAAGATGAGGTATCAACAGCCACTACTATTAGGCAAGGTACAAGTATCACAACACTAGTGCCATCTGAGAATCCATGTCAACCCTTAGCTAAGGAAGTAGCTCCCAACCTGGAGATCTCTGGGTCCTTGAGGACTCTTAAAGTAGTTATGGAGCTCATTGAACTATTTTCAACATTTCAAAAAGATATCACGTAGCAATTGTACATCCATCCTTAATAAAACTGCACAAGCAAACTGAAATGTTATGTTTTCTAGCTTTGAGTTGATGTAATATGAACTCAATGCCGACCAGAAGTGTGATAGGTGGTTTTATACAACTTTGATTAATAAAGAAACGTGCATCATTTTAAAGAGAAATGAACCCAAGTGTAGATTCCAAGAATAGGCAAGTTCTAGGTCTTTCTCAATTGTAGACAGTCACTGAATCTAGGAGGTACTGTTTATAATTTACAAAATTATTTTACCACTAAAAATCACAAAATATATTCCATTATTAGGATATCATAACTAAAAGATAGATATTGCTGTTTGTTTACCTGGAATTATTGACTATGTGATAAATAATCAACAGTGTAACATGTTTACATCAAAAACATTAAATAATATCATGTAAAATAGAAACATATTGTTCTGGTTCTAAATTTAGTGGTCAGATTAGATTTTTTTTTAAGAGTCTGGAAGCACTCTTTGGTTCACTCAACATTACTAGTCAAGCACCTTTCAGGGCTGGATTACATAGAATTTTGTCCTGTCTATTTGGTCTGATCAATTTTTAAACAGTTTCATGCAGAATTTGCCTTCTGTTTTATAGCAAAGTCTATGTTATTAAGCTTCTTTGATAAATAAATCAAAAGGGTACTAGAAGAAAGAATATTTTGTATTCTGTAATACAATTACTATCTCAAGGGGTTAGTTGACTTTTAAAATAAAGTAACAGGGTTCATTAAAGTCAGGAAAATTTGCAGATTTCAGAAATGCTATAGTTAAATATTTTAGGGTAACTGTGGGAAGGGTACCAGAGTGATCTTCAGAGGCTTAGCAGTGAGTTGGAGACAGAGAAGGAATTGCTGCCTAGAAAATAGAAAAAGCAGATGGAATTCCTGTTCCTTCCCATAAGGGATCATTAAGTTCAAAACTGTCAAGATGTCAAAGCGTTAACAAGATTAAAAACAAAAGACAAAAGTTTTTCCTCCAAAACAAGCCTGAAAACTGAGGTGCTTTTGATGTGGAAGACATGTAAAATTTCCCATGTGGTGGTGGTTTTCTTATCAATGAACACTTGAAACCCCTTGTCAGGGAATGCAGTGTGACCTGTCTTCCCAAGGTCTCACCTTTTAGCCATTGCCTGACTAATTTCATCTGCCTCCACGATAGGGCTCACAAAACCAGGCTGGGCAAAGTCTGATCCATAGAATTCTATTTCTCTATCCATTCAAGACACTTATTCACTAACAAAGTAACTCAAATGGAAAAGCTTTGGTAATATGCAAAAATAAAAAACAATCTCCTCTCAGGGTTCAGAGCCTCCTGGGAGAGAAGCATACCTTATCAATGTCACAGACCTCCATTTGAAAAGCTAGCAGATCCCAGTCAGGGGCATAAGCTCAACTGCCAGAGCCAGGGCAAAGTGCAATGGGCCATCGTTAATGCAGTCACAACTATCAGATCAGTAAAGCTCCAGACAGGCATGGTGACTGATTTTAAAAATAAGATCTTTCTTTTCAAATTATTCTTGTACGTTAAAGCTGTCCTCCCCAAAGACTCGTACAATAATGTAAAACTTGGGAGACAACCTGAATGTCCATCAATAGGGAAATGGCAAAATAAATTATAGCATATCCATTCTCTTGAGTCTTAGGCATTTGTTAAAAAGGATAAGTTTGATCTCAAAATACTAACATTAAAAAAATGGAGCTTTTAACAAATAAGCAAATAGGACAGGAAAATACGATTCAGTTTTGCAAAACAAGTGTATTGGATGCAATCTTTGTGCACCTCCTCAGATTTTCTCTACTGCCTCTTTTTTTTCTGAAAGTAATCTCCACACCCCTATTGCACCCCTACCACAACCACTGCCTTTACTGAGCTCCCAGGGCTGGCCAGAGTTCGATTGGAACCCTGAGCCTGCATGGCCATTAGTCCTGACATGCTGAGCCCTATCAGCATTGAGTTGTCACTCTTTTTCTAGGTTTAGATGAAATGCCACACTATGGAGCAAGTGGGGCAGGGGGCAGGATTGGCTTCCTGAGTGTCTGCCAAGGGCTGGAAATATAGGAAATTATCTTTTTAGGGGGTGAAATTTGGCCCATGGGATATGAGAGGGTACCAAGGAGAAAAAAATCCCTCCCCTTTCTTCCTGCAGTGGGCTACTCTGAAGCGTGGTTTCTTCTTGCAGCTTTTCCAGAGGTGTCCTGCATGCTGAGTGGACATGTCTGCCAAGCATCTGCTATGTCTTTGCCAGGTCCCTTGTGAAATGGTGCTCTTAAGTTTTCTCAACAGAATATGACCAAAGAATTAAAGTTAGTGGTGGAAATAGCAGTTACAAGTGAGAGCTATCATTCTGTGACCTAGATCAAGGCCTTGTATCCAAAACTTGGTCTAAGTCTCCTTTTAAGTAGCTCCAGAACTGCAATAACAACACTTGTCCAACTTTAAATTACAGGCATGAATGGAGAACACAGGTGACACAGGCAAATTATATTTACTTATGCAATATGAATTATCCTGATACTTTGTGCCAGGAAATGTTCTAAGTGCTGGGAATTTAGCAGTAAAGAAAGGGGACAAAACTCCTCACCCACATGGAGTTTATTTTCTAGAATTGGAGGGGAGTGGATTGGGAGAACAGTAACCAAGGGTATCAAAAATTCATTTTAGCCCTTAGTTTCCTAGCAAAGCCAGCTCTGAAAAAAACTTGTCAAAGCAAGATTTCTGTCATTTCCTTCCCTGGGGCTAGAAGCCTTTTGCACCATGTTTAGCAGCTTTCCCACTTCCACCCCTCCCAAAGACTTACTCTGGGCTGTGTGTCTGGTCAGCTGTGTGTCTTTTCCCCCAGGAGTTGCTCATTGTGTTTCAAGGCTGTTAGCTCAGCTAATGTGCTTTTTTATTTTAGTAACTTCATAATACTAATAGTCTCTGATATTTGCAGAGTGCTTTTGTATTTACAGAGCATTTTCACTTACAGTAACCATTTTATTCATACTCCAACTCCCATGATATAGTCAGAACAGGTTTTATTTTCCTCCTTTTGCTGCTGAAAAGACTGAGAAGTTACATACTTTGCCCAGGGTCATCCAGCTAGGAAGAGCAGAGTCAAAATGAGGATCCTTCTAACTTCTTAATAGTGTTATTGCCTCTGTACTTTTGGGGCTATTTCTCTCCAGATAGAATTTTAATTATTTTGATCACATTTAATTATAATAACGCTATGGGTAAAAATGCAGAGCTCCAGAGTGGGCTGGTGGAAAAGAACACCTGGGGCAGGTGTGTCTGTGGTATCTTAAATAAATTAGATAGATTTTCTTTTCCACCTTCAGATAGAGCCAATGCTGTCAGAATCACTTTCAAGTAATAGATATATGACTGATTAGACTAAGTAATACAGCCGTGGGCCAGTGTTTATAGGCAACTAGGGTGCTTCTGGTGCAGCTGCAGTTCTTTCTCTCTGCATGCTGGTTGTCAGGAGCCAGCTGTCCCCACCCCGCCCCCCTTCACCCCCACTCCAGAGTCAGCATCCAGAAGATATGATTTGTTCTCCCTTTCCCCCCATATCTGATATTGCTAGGGTGACCATGTAACTATTGTCCGGGAGAAAAAGGAGAGAAAAAGGAGGCGCTATTAAATAATTACACCAGGACAACAGGTGTAAACCAGGACTCTACATTTCACCACTGAACAAGGGGTGAAAACTTTAAAAATAATAATAATAATAATGATAATTGATTACAAAAGAAGTCCTGAAAAGTTGCATGTTACATAAATGAAATTTCAAATATATAGGAAAGCTAGCTAATTAAGGAAATTCTTAACTATAAATTCTCTGGAAACGTAAGAAAAAAAGTTTCACAAAACACTTTACTATCTTTTATGTAAGGCTGTAAAGTTTAAATTTTCTATAACAGTTTCTTAATACATGCAATATATATTGGCTGCTGCTACACATAGTCGAACATTTAATTCTCACAGAAAGCCTGTGGAATGGTGTGCCTTGTTAAGATATCATGCTAGAACAGATACTACTGCCCACCCTACCAACAAAATCTTTATTCATATCATTTGCTTTGTTTTTTAATATTGTAAAATAATACATGCTCATTACAAAAAATTAGAAAAATATAGAAAAATAGAAAACAAAATAAATCACCCTTAATCATCACCTCACCAATAACCATTAGTAACATTCTGATGTATTTTTTCAAATGTTTGTATTTGTACAACTATTTTTGACTTAATTGTGATCGTACTATATTAACTATCCTGCTTTTCTCTTAAATTATATTACACATATTTTGCCATCCCATTATGAATTGTTTATAAGCCTAATCACAGTAATCTATTATGTGAGAAACACCTTGTTTACTTAACTATTCCCAGTTCGTAGGGCATTTGAGTTGCTTCCGATTTCTTATTATAAATAATGCCACAATGAAGACTTCATACTAAAAGCTCATTTGGTAGTTCATGTTATTTCTTGAAGCTAGATTTCAGAAACTGAAATTATCTTAAAGTAAATGAACATATTTTAGGTTCTTGTTACATATTTAAAATTGCCTTCCAACAGGTTTTTCTTCAGTTTACACACCCATCAAAAATAAATATGAATCTCACCAGCACTGAATATTTTCATATATGAAACATATGGTTTTCGTTCTGCATTTCTTTGATTTCTACAGAGACCTAGCATTTTCCCATATACTGACTAACCTAATTGCATTTTCTATATTTTTGTTCATATTATTTGTACACCAGAGTTGTTACTAAAAGTACAAATTCTAAATATCTATAAAATTACCTTAAAGAGTTCTTCATGTTTTGACTTGATAAAAATTACAAGATCTGGCCGGGCGCAGTGGCTCACACCTGTAATCCCAGCACTTTGGGAGGCCGAGGCGGGTGGATCACCTGAGGTCAGGACCAGCCTGGCCAACATGATGAAACCCTGTCTCTACTGAAAATACAAAAATTAGCCAGGCATGGTGGTGTGTGCCTATAATCCCAGCTCCTCGGGAGGGTGAGGCAGAAGAATCACTTGAACCCAGGAAGCAGAGGTTGCAGTGAGCCAAGATCATGCCACTGCACTCTAGCCTGGGTGACAGAGCGAGACTCCATCTCAAAAAAAAAAAAAAAAAAGTACAAGATCTGATAGGAATTATTACATGGATTAAGGATTGAGGAAAATATACAGTTTTCGATATGACATTAATTTCCATCCTCATTGAGAATTGGTGGAACCCTGAGCCTTGGAGGCATCTAAGGCAATGTTCTTGGTCCCAGTCAGTGAGGGTCATATTCTGTATTCATAGTCTAAGTTTCCTGATTGCCTTCCTCTGTGTTTTAATATTTAGCTATTTCATGCCTCCTCTTGTAGAAGCTGAAGTTAGGTATTATTGCCATCTGAACAGATAAGAAAATAAGGGTTCAGATAGGCATGTGACTTGCACAAGGCCACACAGCTGGTAAAGAGTAGAACCCTTTCTGATTAAAATCCTCACGTTCATTCCACTGGTATTCCACCTGAAGTCAGATGTTTAAGAACATTCAGGAAAAGAGGGAAGAAAGAGACCTGAAAAATTTATTAAAATAGCAGCCATTAAGTACTAGAGGTGCCTTAGCCAGACTGTACTGAGCATTAGCAAGATAAAAAGAATTCATTTCATATTCTCCAGGTTTTACTTTTCAATTTGTATAAAAATTCCTACTTATCCACAGCCTGGCTCTTTTAAGTATTATCTTACCCGAGAGGCAGTAGAGCACAGTGGATGAGTTCAGGCTCTGAAATCCATCTGCCTGAATTTTAATCCCAGCTTTGCCATTTGCTACCTGTTGTAACCTAGGAACGTTACTCAAATGCTCTGTGCCCTCAGTTTCCTCAACAGTACAGAGAAAAAGTATAATAATAATAGTACTTACCATATAGAGTTGTAGGGAAAAGTACATGAGTTAATACACGTAAAACACATGACATAGTGCCTAGCCTGTGGAAGTATGCAAGTAATGTTAGTTGTTGTTGCTGTCATTATACCATTATATGTATTGATTCATTTAACCTCATGACAACCCTATGATCCTGTGACAACCTTACTGTGATCCCCCTTTGACTAATGAGAAAACAGAAGTTATACTAATTATGAAAACATAGCATAAAACACTATTCAAACCTAAAAGAGAATCTCTGGCTGTAAGTGTGAACTAGATTTGAAAAACACAATACATCAATGAAATATAAAAAGTTAAGGGAAATAAGTTACATTTTACATCAAAAACAAATTAAGTAATATGAGATGTTAACATAAAACATTTTTGTCGGCACTGAATGTGCAAGAAATATTGTAGAGATTTTTAAATGTTTTTATTTGTATCATGAAGAATCCTTAGAAAAAAACTGTCTAACCCAGAAGTGTAGCGGGGATGCTGACAGATGTTACCGCCATCCTCCTTTGTACTATTTAAATACCATGGATTCTGTTCTTGATAGACTTGAATGCTTGATTTCAGGTGCCTATGACTCATATTTGTAAATAATTAATACATGTATTAAAAACACATTTTATGCATCAACAGATACTTTCATTTTGAATGTAAAGTGCACACACCCCAAACATTTTCTTTAAAAAAAATCAATATTTATTGAAAATAACCATGAATCAAAATTCTAAGGGAAATCAACATAACTAAAATAGTTGCGTGAGTACCGTCCTTAAGAAATAAGAATTTGGGAGAAATAGTTACCCTCACCTCCTTCCTCTCATTCCCAGATACAGGAAAAGACCTTAACTGAGGGATGGTTTCCTGCTGTGTCCTCGGAACCCCAGGGCCTGGTTCATAGAGACAAGTAAGCAGTGACTGAAGAAAGTTGCAAATGTGAAGACCTAGAATTTACCAGTGAATGACAATTTGAATGTGAGAAGCTTAGAAAAAGAGAAGATGGTGGTCAGCAAGGGAAGAAGAAAAATAAAAACATGTGAAAAAATGAGAGGAATGGATATAGGCAGAGGACCAAATGGCATCAAACTCACAGCAAATAGGCTAGATTCACCTATTTCAAAAGGAAATTCTTTCTAGCATAAAGAAAAGACAAATATTTAAGGTGATGAATATCTCAACTACACTAATTTGATCTTTGACTCAAATTATATGAATGTATTAAATTATTACCTATACCCTGAAACTATGCGCATCTATTATGCATCAATAAATAATTATTTAAAAAAATAGAAATGCTAGAACCGAAAAACTCAATAAAGAAATTAAAAAAGAAAATCAAGCTACTGAAGAGATCCCTGGGCTGTGATGGAAACAAATAAAATGGCTTATTTCTAAGGGCACTCAACTATTGAGTAAGTCTGAGCCGAAAGGTATAAAGTACCTTTGGCAAATAATAATAATAATAACCACAAAAATAAGCTTCTTAGATAGCCTATTGCTTTGTGGTTATAATAATTATACACTCCACTGGATAGCAAGCAATCTACTTATCTACACGTGTAAGTTTGACTTGAAGTTTCTTCTATTTTTCATCTGCTGGAGTAACTCAATTACTAGGCCATCTGTATTTGCAAATCTGCAAAGTGAATGTTGTCATCCAGTAGCCTTGCCACATGTGTCCTGAGTACTTTTTACATTCTTTAGCTTCCTTGATTCACTTCAGCCACCCTAGAAATTACTGAGTTTCAAATTAGATTAAGTCTCCCTGAGAAGTGAAATAAATATTGGATGGAGAGAAGGAAAGAAGATTCAGATGGGTGGGGATGAAGAATGAGCCGTGTGAAGGAAGCATGTTTGCTAATAAACCTCACGGAGGATGACCTGAGTACACAATGCGGTTTCATACTTTTATCTTAATGCTGCTCATTATAGCCAACTATAATCTCTGCCTGCCTGACAATGGTTTGTGTATATGTCTGTTCGCCCACCTAGACCTGGAATTCCCTGAAAGCAGAACCTAGTCTTCATCTGCGTATCCCCAGCTCCTAGAATCAGGACTGGCACAAAGCTGTTACTCAGTATCTTTTTGTTGAATGAAGGAAGCAAAGACTCAAATACATTTTTTCATTTTTTTCACCTTATGAAACTTTTGGCCTCATAAAACTTTTTGACTTATGAAACTTTCTTAAGGGCTATGAAGTAAGGTTGAATGCATTGCTTTGTGTTCAAAATCCCTTCAGCCCCTGTGGTAGTCAATGGAAATTTATATAATCTGATTACTTATTATATCACCAAACCTCCAGAGTTGGGCACAGACTGGAGGGTGAACCCACCAACTAAAAGAGGCAGAGGGACACATGAGTGTTCACACAAGTGATAAATTAACATAAACTACTTTAAAGGTTATTTAAAATTTACATGTCTTGGAGTTAACCCTAAAGTAGCAGTTCTTAATTTAGGGCTCATGGATCTTTAGCAAGTCCAAGGATGAATTTTAGGGGGCATATTTATGAACCACAAAAACAAACATCAAAGACAAAATGAGTTATACAAAGACATGTGTTTTGGAAGGGAGGTGATCTACAGCTGTCATTAGATTATTGAAGGAGCCTATGATCCAAAAATAATATAATTCATAACTTCAAACAGATATTTTCAGAGTATGACAAGAAATATGCACAAGGATGTTCATCATGGCATAGAGAGAGTGGAAAATTGGAAGTAATCCAAATGGATTTCAATAAAGGAGTGTTGAGCACATAAATAAAACATATATGATATGCTGCATACGGATTACACATTGTTGAGGGAAAGGGCAGGTTATTGCACAGCATGTGTGGTATGGTCTTATTTATGGAATTAATATACATGTGTATCTAGGCAGAGAATGTGTCTAGGCATAGAAAGACAGTCACCAAATGTTAACAGTTATTGTTGATTGGTCGAATTTGGGATGTTTTTGTCCTTCCTTTTTATACTCCCTAATTTGTTTGCATTTTTAGTGAGCATGTTGTCATTTTAACAAAATAATAGTATTTTCAAGAATTGGAGGGACAATTATAGAGAAATGTAAGGAAGGCAGAGTCATAATTGGCAAGTAAAAGAAACTTGAAAATTATTAACCTTAAGGTGAGCACCAAGGAGACCACTGCTGCTCTCCGAATAGACAACAGAGTGGGACGAGTGATACATAAGCCTGACCCAGTGTGGCAATTGCTGTGTCCTAGTTTAAACATATTCAAAGGGAAGTGACAACTGGTCTTGGAAACTCCTGGCTCCATCTAGTGCATTGTGAACTGGTTTTTCTGTGAAGACAGAGCACTATACAAGAATAAAATCATGTGTATGAGAGGTAGAGATAATTACATATCATCACTCCTGGTTGTGCCAGTCAGCCTGGCATGTGGCACAACCAGTTCCTAGAAGCTGCTCATCATCTGAATCAGATTAGAATCTTCTTTCCTCCTAAATGAACAAAGACCCACTTCCAACCTTATGTTTGAAATGTGAAACATTCATTTGCGAGATACAAACCCTTCTCAGAAAGACTATGTACCGATGCATACTTGCCATGAGTAAATGCTGCCCCTTTCAGTATTTCTTAATTGAAGCTGTCTGGTGTACTGTAAGAGGAATCTGTCTCAAAAGCTATGCATTTTCAAAATGCCCCTTTGTTTGGTGTCTCAAAATTTTCACACCTTGGGGTAATGCACTATAGTCATATGTATGATAAATGAAAGGCATGCTTTTCTTGTGTCAAGTGGGAGAAGGATGATTATGAAAGGGAAAAGCAGATTAATTTTAGAAGACAATATAAGTAAGGAAGCTGTGGGTCTGGAAAATAATTCACTTAAAATTATCCATACCCTATACCTCCTACAAATTCCTAAGTAAACCCAGGTGTATGGATACCCCAGTTTGAAGACCGTTGCTTTAGTCTGCCTCCATTCATTCATAGATACAGAAACTAAAGCCCAGGGCAGTGGCCCATCCAAGACTAGAACCTGTCTTCCAACTTGCAGATTAATGGGTTTCAACTCTACCAAACTGCCTTTTATTGTGTCCTTGAATAAATCTTTTCACTTCTTTGAGGATTTTTTCATCTACAAAATGAGAGGGGTGGAGTAGATCATCTTCACGCTGGATACCTTACCTTTATTTCTCCAGATGTACTCTCCAGTCTTCTCCACCCTGCTCTGGGCACTAGAAGTAGATATGTTTAAACTGTATCAATGGGCTCCCTCCCCCTGTGGCTTCTGATTGGGTTCAGTCAATGGGAGGCCCTGGCAAGAGCTCAGAAGGCAGAAAGGAAGTAAAATTAGACGATTTATTTACCTGCTCCAGCTGCTTGGTTGCTGTGGGTTGCTTGCATCCTGCCCCTGAAAGCCATGAATACTGTCCAGTATTCTTTTCATTCAGCTAATCTCTCTGAGTTCCAGTAACTTCTCCCTCCCCTCTGTCGTTCAGGCATAGGAGTGACAACACTTTCCCAGAAAATTCCATCCCGCTGGATCCACCCTGAATCCTCCACCACCTACTGCCCCACCATTTCCCTGTTGGGATTGAATCTTGTCTCTAGGAAGGGAAAGGGCCAGGGGCAACTCAATGTTCTCCATTTCCTTCCTTAATCCCATTAAAGTGTTCTGAAAGGAAAAGTAAATGATGTCACTCTAAACATATTTTTAAAATCTGGGCCCAGTTAAAAATCAAAATAAGTAAAATAAACAAAAAAAGTTTAAGTGAAAAAGGCTTTTTTATGTTTTTAATTTTTTATTTTGAAAAATTTTAGAAGTTGCAGAGCAATACAGAGATCCCATATACCTGTTGTCCAGCTTCCTCTAATATTAACATCCTCCCTAACCACCATACAATGATCAAAACCAGGAAGTTAGTATTGAGATAATTCTATTAACTAATCTGCAGACCTCATCCAAATGTTACAGTTGTCCCCTAATGTCCTAACTGGTCTAAGGTCCAACTGTCATGTCTCCTTAGTCTTCTCCAATCTGTGACAGTTTCTCAATCTGTCTTTCACTACCTTGACACTTTTGAAGAGTACTAATCAATTATTTTGTAGAAAGTCTCTCAATGTACACTTGTCTGATGTTTCCTTATGATGAGATTGAGGTTATGCATTTTGGGCAAGACTATCACAGAAGTGATGTTGTGCCCTTCTCGGTGCATCATGTTAAGAATCCCTGACGTCAATATGGCATTACTGGTGAAGTTAACTTTGGTCACTTGATTCTGTGGTAGTTGACAGGTTTCATCTCTATAAGGCTACTGCTTTTCCCTTTGTAACTAAAAGTATCTTATGGGGAGATACTTTGAGATCATGCAAATGCCCTGTTTCTTAACACAACTTCTCTCAGTACTATTAGTGTATATTGATTCCTGTCTTTGCTAATGGTGACTTTCCATTTCCATCCTGCCTTCTATATTTATTTATTTATTTTTATTTTTATTTTATTTTATTTTTTTTTTTGAGACAGAGTCTCGCTCTGTTGCCCAGGCTGGAGTGCAGTGGGTGATCTCAGCTCACTGCAAGCTCCGCCTCC
The DNA here is from genome assembly GCF_000001405.40 of Homo sapiens. Lineage (NCBI taxonomy): Eukaryota > Metazoa > Chordata > Mammalia > Primates > Hominidae > Homo > Homo sapiens. The sequence continues at coordinate 69,710,859 of NC_000012.12, read as the reverse complement.
TGGTTCACGCCTTTCTCCTGCCTCAGCCTCCCGAGTAGCTGGGACTACAGGCGCCCGCCACCACGCCCAGCTAATTTTTTGTATTTTTTTTAGTAGAGACGGGGTTTCACCGTGTTAGCCAGGATGTTCTATTCCTTCTATATTTATTAAAGAAGAGCTGGCCCTTCGCTTCATTAATTTATTTACTTATTCATTTACTTGTTTATATCAGTATGGACTCAGGAACATTTATTGTGTTTTATGGGTTATAATCCATTACTATGATTATCCATTCTTTAGCATACCTTGTCCCAAATTTCACTGGGACCTCCTTCGATATGGCTCCTGTGTCATTTTCACATACTCCATCATTTTTTAGTACTTCCTTAGTTTCTGGCACCACAAAACGTTCAGGCTCATCTTATATATTTCCTGGAATTGATTATTTCTCTAAAGAACACTTTACTTATTTGCTCAATCCTAATACATACATAAAGTAGTCTCAGAGTTGCTAACCCATGCCTCTGTCTGTGGAAACAAATTTACCAACTAGAGTATATATTTTTGTACAGTTCTTTATGTCTTTAGCTTTATATTGTACGGTCAAAATACTGTTTTCCAAACTTAGTTGGTTCTTCCCCAACTCTTTAAGTATGGTTATGATATTCATTTGTAGTACAGTTAGATCCACTTGTTACCCTTTGCATTCTAATTGGGCTCCTCCCATATCCTGTAGATTTTAATTATTTGGACAGGGTAGGGGGCACTTTGTGGTTCATTCCCTGGTTCTAAGAGTCAGAGATATACAAGAAGTTTATCTAGTCCATGTCACCCCACAACCACTACCCCATTCCACTTCTTCTTTCCATCTCATTCTCAAACTCTGAATAACCAAATCTCACTGCACCTATTTTTGTAAACAGTTATTTTCCATAAGTGAGCAGATACATGCATATTTTATCTCCCCTTTTATTCTTCCATGAAAGGTAGTACACTATCGATATTCTCTCTCTCTTTTGAGGTTCAGTTTGCATAAGATAAAATTAACCATTTTGAAGTGTACAATTCAGGCTGGGCATGGTGGCTCATGTCTATAATCCCAGCACTTTGGGAAGCCAAGGCAGGCAAATCACTTGAGGCCAGGAGTTCGAGACCAGCTTGGACAACATGGTGAAACCCTGTCTTTACTAAAAATACAAAAAATTAGCCAGCCATAGTGGCACGCACCTGTAGTTCCAGCTACTTGGAAGGCTGAGACACAAGAATCGCTTAAAACCAGGAGGCGGAGGTTGCAGTGAACCGAGATTGCACTACTGCACTCCAGCCTGGGTAACAGAGGGAGACTCCGTCTCAAAAAAATAAATAAATAAAATAATAAAGTGCATAATTTGGTAGCATTTAGCACATTCACAATGTTCTCCAACCACCATGTCTCTCTAGTTCCACAAAATTTTCTCAAAAATGTCTCAAAAGAATCCCCCATATTCATCAAGTAGTTACTCCTCATTTCTCCCTACCTATAGCCCTGGCGATGACTAGTCTGTTTTCTGTCTCTATGGATTCACCTATCTGGGTAATTTCATATAGATGGAATCATAATAATATGTGACCTTTTTATATTTGGTTTCTTTCATTTAACATAATGTTTCCAAGGTTCATTCACATTATAGCATGTGTAAGTACTTCATTCCTTTTTATGGCTGAATAATATTCCACTGAATGGATATACTACATTTTGTTTATCTTTCTATCAGCTGATGGACATTTGGGCTGTTTCCACCTTCTGGCTATTGTGAATAGTGCTGTTATGAACATTATATATGCATCTTTGAATATCTGTCTTCAATATTTTGGGGTATATACCTAGGAGTAGAATTGCTGGGGTCATAGGATAATTCTATTTAACTTTCTGAGGAGCCACCAAACCATTTTCCACAGTAACTGTACCATTTTACAATTTTACCAGCAATGTACAGGATTCCAGTTTCTCCACATTCTCACTAAGACTTGTTATTTTCTGTTTCGTTTGTTTGTTTATAGCCATCCTAGTGGGTGGATGTGGTATCGCATTGTCATTTTGATTTGCATTTACCTAATGATTAATAATGTTGAGCATCTTTTCACATGTTTATTGACATAGGTTTTATTTTATACTTTTTCCACCCATCAGTATACCCTGGAAATCACTCCATATCAATTCGTAAACATCTTTCTTGTTCCCTTTTGCAGCTGCACAGTACTACACTTTATGGATGTGCTATAGTTTATTCAACCACTCTCCTGTGTAGGGGCATTTAGATTTTTTCCAGCATTTTTCAGTTACAAACAATGCTGCAGTTAATAAGTTGGTGCAAATGCATTTTTTTATTATTGGAAGTGTGCGTTAGGTGGATTCCTGGAAACTGAATTGCTGGGTCAAAAGGTAAATTCATATGTAATTTTGTTAGTTATTAATGAAGTTAGCAAGGAACAATCCTGGCTGTCTTACTCTAACAACAAATGTAAAAACAAACTCTTTCTACAAGGGCTTGGAGAAGGGAAGCCCAAGAAATACAACCACCTGGTTTTTCACTTTGAGGAAATGGAAACGTGTATACAACTTACCTTTTACTTTCGTCTTCTTATAACAAGATGATGCTATGCTAAGGAAAGTAGCCCTGTCAGCACGCAAACAGATCTTATGTTCCTAAAGGCAGGATTAGATGGTCTGATAGAATGCCATGAGCTCTAGTAGAAGCTGAGTCCTATGAGTATCCTTTACACAACTCATTGTTATGTTTCTAATTTAATCTAATTATGTACCTGTGAGAAAAAACAGGATGAGCAAGAACACAAGTCATCTCCAAACTACTAGGTATGGGAAGAGGAAGTATACTCGATTCTCAATTTACTTCCATTTTTCTCTCACAGAAATATTAAAACATATCAGAATGTGCTCTGAGATACCACCTTAACAGTGGATCTGAACATCCGTAGCTCTTATATACTATTACTCTGCTGTTGGAATGTAGTCAGTCAAATTCCACTAAAGGACCTTTATAATTTAATCATCACCAAAACCCTCCTATCCTAGAAGGGCATTCAAGGTCAAGAACCCTGAGGCATCTTATAAGCCGCAAGAATGATATTGCCACCACCTAGACCATCATCAAAGAACATTTACTGTGTCCATCCTTTCATTATTATTGCTTACTGCTATCTTAAGGAGTGTTCAATGCATTTATCACTCACCATGTGAGTGCCCAGTCCAATGCCTATAACGTAATGATATTATGGAGTAGTCAACAGGAGGTAGAAGGAATCAATTTATTTCTGCCTCTATCCATTCAAATATTATATTGCTATTTAACGTGCAGTAGTCTAGTCTAAATCTCCTTGAGGTCAGCAAAAAAAAAGAAGAAAGAAAAGAAAAGAGATGAGAGGCCGTGTTTCAGATGGATTGGCTACAAGAGGCCACTCACATCCCCACTCTAAGTTTCTGATTTAAGTAGCTAAGGATACAGAAACTCAGAAGAGAGGTAACCACACAGAATGCAGATGAAGCATTCCACGGTGCAGACAGAATGCAAAGTTGATACTCAGAGGTCCCTGAATAACGCCTGTCTTTAGCTTTCCAGAATGCTGTAAAACCCACACCGCCAGAGGAAAAATGCTGAGATTAAAAAAAATTATTCAATAAATATCACTTGTATTGCCGGGTGTGGTGGCTCACACTTGTAATCCTAGTACTTTGGGAGGCCAAAGCGGGCAGATCATCTGAGGTCAGGAGTTTGACACCAGCCGGGCCAACATGGTGAAACCCCCATCTCCACTAAAAATACAAAAATTAGCCAGGTGTGGTTGTGGGTGACTATAATGCCAGCTACTTGGGAGGCTGAGGTAGGAGAAGCGCTTGAACCTGGGAGGCGGAGGTTGCAGTGAGCAGAATTCGTGTCGTTGTACTCCAGCCTGGGCGACAAGAGAGAAACTCCATCTCAAAAAAATAAATAAATAAATAAACCCACCATTTATACTAAAAAGATGGGCTAAACATCTGGATAAAAAATACATCCTCATTTATTCATTTCACAAACATTTATTAAGTGCCTACTAATGGCAGATACTTTGCTGGGCATTGGATATAAAGTAATTAACAAAATACTCATGGAACTGGTCCTCATGACATTGGCATTCTCATATGAGAAATAGTGGAAACACTTCTAGGCTGTTTTTAAATTTTCATTCAATAAATATTTCTTGAAGTAGCCACTATTCAAGGCACTTTGCTTTCATCAGTGAACAACAGACAGCTCCCTGCCCTTGTGGAACTCCCATTCTAGTAGGGAGAAAAAGACAATAAACACAACAAATGTGTCAATTACAAGGTATATACAAAGGAGAATGGTGTGGAGAAAGAGCACAAGTGAAGCCGGGTAAGGGCATCAAGAGTGCTGTGAGGAGGGAGGTGTGCAGGGCACTACGAAGTTTTAGGTAGAGTCATCAGCTCATTGAGAAGATACCTGAGCAAAAGCTTGAAAGAGGTGAAGGAGACAGTGCCTCAGATACCTGGAGGAAGAACATTCCAGGCAGGTAGAGGCTACTGAGGCTGGGGACATGCCTATGTGTTTGAGGAAACAAAGGAGACAAATGCAGCTAGAGATGAGTCCACAGGTGAAAGTAATAGGAAATGAGACCAAGGAGGAAATGAGAGCAGGTCATGGAAGACCTTAGCTGCCATTGAAGGACGTAGGCTTTTATTCTGAGAAGAGCAGGGAGTGAATGAGGGGTTTTGAGCAGAGGAGTGACATGGCTTGTCACTCCTCTGTGACAAGAGGAGAGACATGGCTTGACTTGGCTTGTCTTTTAATAAGATTTTTCTGCCTTTGTGTTACAACAGACTGCAGGGAGCAAGTGCAGACACCGGGAGACCTGTGGGAAGCTGCTGGAGTGACCCCGGAAAACCACGATGCGGGTTCTGAAGAGGCAGGGGCAGTGGAGATAGCTCCCTATCTCTGCGATAGTGAGATGACAGATTCTGAGTATATGTTCAAGGTGGAACCAATACAATTTGCTGAAAGATTGGATTGCAGTGTGAGAGAAAGAGAGGAGCTGAAGATGACTTCAAGGTTCTAGACCTTTTGGAAGGAAGGAATGTTCAACAGAGATGGGAAAGGTTACAGATGGAGCACATTTGTGGGAAAAGGCCAGGAGTTCCATTTTGGGCATGTTGGGTTTGAGATGTTTATGGAAATATTAAGGTAAGTCTGGAGTTGGGTGAAAGATCTGAGCTGGAGGTATGAATTTGGAAGTGGCATCAAGTCTGATTTTTATTTCATTTATTTAATATGATTACATATTAAAATATAGATGTTACTTTTTAAAATATAAAATTATATGGAGCAAAAACTGAAGTTTTTTTCTTCCCCCCTTACTCCAAACCTACTACTCTCCCCAGCAGTAACCACTATTAAGGAGCTGTTATATGTTAAAGGACTGAAAAGATGTCTGAAGAATGCTCAATATACCATATTAGAAAACCAGAACCAGCCGGGCGTGGTGGCTCACGCCTGTAATCCCAGCACTCTGGGAGGCCGAGGCAGGCGGATCACGAGGTCAGGAGATCGAGACCATCCTGGCTAACACAGTGAAACCCCGTCTCTACTAAACATACAAAAAATTAGCCGGGCGTGGTGGCGGGCGCCTGTGGTCCCAGCTGCTTGGGAGGCTGAGGCAAGAGAATGGCGTGAACCTGGGAGGCGGAGCTTGCAGTGAGCCGAGATTGCACCACTGCACTCCAGGCCGGGCAACAGAGGGAGACTCTGTCTCAAAAAAAAAAAGGAAAAAAAGAAAACCAGAACCAACATGGGTTTTTCATTTCCACGTGCATTTTACTACACGAGAAAAGGTATTTTAGAATTGCCCACATATTTATGCATAGCATTTTTCTATTTACCTATATGTTGCCTTTACCCATACAGTAACATAATTTCCACTACCTTCTACAATCACAGTGGTAAAGTAACAGAATTTCACAGCTGTTTGGAATAAACAATATTCTTGAATTCATGTGCCTTTTCTTGTAAAATTAAGCTGATTTTTAATTGATTCTATGTGAAATTTTTTTTCTTTAGCAATCTGGAATGTATTTGAGATGAATAATACCATTCATTTTTAAAAAGTCATCAATTATAGAGTACAGGATACACATTCAGCACCATAATCATAATACTCTAGACTCTAAGCTTTCATCTCTAAAATAGAACAAAGTTTCCATACCTTCCATTAGAAAAAGATAACCTTCAAAATTTGAACTAGTGCATTTCTGTTTTGTTGAGTTAGCAATTACTCTATGCTAGGAAAGTAATGATGACTCCTCAAATATCCAGTCTCTTATGAGCTTAGAGCTTCAGCTGTAATAAAACGCAATAGTCTTTCTAGTCTGAGGAGTTCACTATATCTCCCCTGAAATCAAAGATAATAAATTAATTGAAGAGGTTTTCCATCCTCTTTGGTTTGATTTTTGGCACAGTTCTATGTCCAATGACATACACAGAAACCTCTGCACACCTGGAGTGCCACATGATTTACCCCAAACAGTGTTTGTTATGCAGCTGTTGGATCCATTGTTGCAAGCAGTAAATAGGAAAAAAAGAAAAAAAACAAGAAAGAGTAGGACATGAGTTCTCAAGAAGATCACCATCCAACTGGGCAAGTAAAAATTTACCTGTAGGAAAACATGATCACTATAATTGGTTCTGAAACTAACCAAACCAGTGTATTCTGCTGTGGAAAAAAAAAATGAGGACTGTTCTCTACGTTTTACTCTGAATTTTTCTTGAACTTTTAGCACTGTTTGCTATCTTTTTTCTAGAGAAATCCAGCACATAGCAACATAAGTTCCAGAAAGAAGTATTAACAGGAAAACTGACCACTAACCACAGGCTAATCATTCTTTTTTTTTTTTTTTTTTTTTTTTTTTTTTTTTGACGGAGTCTTGATGTGTCACCCAGGCTGGAGTGCAGTGGCACGATCTCAGCTCACTGCACCCTCCGCCTCCTGGATTCAAGCGATTCTCCTGCCTCAGCCTCCTCAGTAGCTGGGACTACAGGCATGTGCCACCATGCCTGGCTAATTTTTTTGTATTTTTAGTAGAGACGGGGTTTCACCACATTGACCAGGCTGGTATCGATCACCTGACCTTGTGATCTGCCTGCCTCAGCCTCCCCAAGTGCTGGGATTACAGGCGTGAGCCACTGTGCCTGGGCCAGACTAATCATACTTAATTCAGCAACTTTATTTTTTTATGGGCACATGGGCTCCCACTTGAAACTTGAGTTTGCATCCATTTTTGCTGGTAGAATGTTTTTATTTGCAGGATAAAATAAAACACATCAAAAGTTCATGGCATGTCATCAAGAACAGCATACCTGAACAAATTTGAGAATCATGTTCCATAATCTTTGTTCTTCATGAGCAAACAGACTCAAAGGACAAAGGAAGTGTCATATGATACTTCTCTTTCCTCCTCCTCCTCCTCTTGCCTCCTCCTTTTCCTCCTCCTCCTTCTCCTCCTCCTCTCGCCTACCCCTGCTCTTCTTCCCCTCCCTGCAGTGGTAGCTATCCCCTGGGCTCTCTCCCACCATCCTTCCTCTGCATTCCACCCACCCACCCACCCACCATCCCAGTTTATCCCAGAACAACCAAAATAACCTTCAAATTGATTCCCCTTCTATAGTCCCTACCCACTCCAATTCATCACACACTCTTCCCAGAGACTCACATTTCTGCAGCTCGGATTTTTTCGAACCCTTTCCCCATCAAAAACATTGATTGATTGCCCACTTAGTAATGTCCCAAAGTCTTAGGTTCAGAATCAAATCCTCCAAAATACAACGTCTGGTCTTTGGTTAATATTTGAATACATGTGTTATCTACACACAATTTATGTTCAACTAATCACTCAGAAGAAATTTGACAAGAGACTTCTCATGTCAGTGGAGACATGTCAAATCAGTTTAAAATGAATGTGGGGCTTTCTAAATAGCTGCTTCTCAAGTAGAAGGTGGTATTGGCTACGTAAACTTGTTGTTGTTACTATTTCCTGTTTCCTTAAGGAACAAAGAGATTTATTTTGACATCTATAGGTGAATATCAGGATTCCAAGTGGAAATGATTCCTTGTTCTTTTCTATGAATTGCCCTGTCATTGGAGGTTTACTGGAATCAAAGACAAATGTGCTACTCTGGACTGTTGAAAATCAGAGTGGTCAAAATCACATAACTTGATGTTTACTGTCAAGGGAAAATATGGCTGGTATAGTTATTTCATAGAGCCCTGAAATTGCCTAAGGGTCTATCATATCGTTTGCTATTAATTATAGGGTTAAAATATTTTCCACAAAAGTCTAGCAAGATTAACTTTATGCCAAATGATACCACCCCTCTAGTGTGGCAGGACAGAGTGCCACTGTCTTCTTTATATGTTGTTTTCCTTTTTATTTTTTAATAATCATATTTTACTTTTAGAATCTGGAAAAAAATTTCTAAAGAAACTTTAAAGTTCGATTTAAAAAGTGATATGAGCCTTCAACTTTGCAATCCGGTGTTTGTTGGATATTTTAAAATAAGCTTTAGTGGCTTGTCTCCTCTAAGCAGGGCTATTTCGACAAGGCCTCTTTCAGTACCTGTTAGAAATCACCACCAGATTCAGAGCTCAACAATGGGAGTTTGTTCATTCAATCTGATCATTATTGACTAATTTGCATTTAGAATGCTGTCTCCAACCATTAATTAGTCATTCCTCAAAACAACCCAATGGGAGAGAGGAACATAATTATCCCTGTTTAGAAATGAAACCAACCAACAGTGCGTTCAGTGCCCCACAGAGGCAGATCCCCTAGCTATGCAGTCATGGCTGCTGGGAATATGCCAGCTGTCAGGGCCACCACACAACCAATAGGAGATGCAAGAGTGAGAATTTTACAAAATACCTCCGATGTTCCTATTTCATAAGCATTTGGGTTTAGATTTGCTGAGATTCGTCTTGCAAACCTTTATAAACATAACATCAGATCTATCAGACCACTTTTCATGGCAACACAACATAAGATGTGCAACATTGTATATATGCTTTTTAAATGTTCACAAATTCCCTCAAATAACCAACAGAATTATAATAGTGAAGGTAAGGAATAATCAAACAGCAAATACATACTAAATATTCATTATTCACAGGGCTCCATACTGGAATTATGAACAGGGATGGGGGCAAGAAATTAAAAAGATACCTACAGCCCTGGCTTTGCTCTAATCTAAGGTACCTAGAATTTGATAAAGAATCCAGCGAAATGCATATAAAACTTACTGTTTTAGAAAAATTTAATTATATGTAATCTTAATTTTAGAATAAGCATTTTTTTCTATATCTTTCTCCACAAAAATACATTTTCTTTAAGTTAAGGTGCAAGGGTGCACAAGTTACTTTAGAAGGTTGGAAAAGTCCCAGGAATTGGCCCTGAAATTATTTATTTTATTACTTAAAGAACGCTGGTGAATTCTCTCTTTTAAGAAAGAAAATATGGGGCTGGGCGCGATGGCTCACGCCTATAATTCCAGCACTTTGGGAGGCTGAGGAGGGCGAATCACCAGGTCAGGAGTTCAAGACCAGCCTGACCAATATGGTGAAACTCCCTCTCTACCAAAAATACAAAAATTAGCCAGGTGTGGTGGGACACGCCTGTAGTCCCAGCTACTCGGGAGGCTAAGGCAGGAGAATTGCATGAACCCAGGAGGCAGAGGTTGCAGTGAGCCAAGATTGTGCCATTGCACTCCAGCCTAAGCGACAGAGTGAGACTGTGTCTCAAAAAAAGAAAGAAAGAAAGAAGAGAGAGAGAGAGAGGGAGGGAGGGAGGGAGGGAAGGAAGGAAGGAAGGAAGGAACGAAGGAAGGAACGAAGGAAGGAAGGAAGGAAGGAAGGAAGGAAGGAAGGAAGGAAGGAAGGAAGGAAGGAAGGAAAAGAAAAGAAAGAAACTATGCGCCGGGTGTGGTGGGCTCACACCTGTAATCCCAGCACTTTGAGAGGCCGAGGCAGGCATATCACCTGAGGTCGGGGGTTCAAGACCAGACTGACCAACATGGAGAAACCCTGTCTCTACTAAAAATACAAAATTAGCTGGGCATGGTGGCGCATGCCTGTAATCCCAGCTACTCAGGAGGCTGAGGCAGGAGAATCGCTTGAACCCGGGAGGCGGAGGTTGCAGTGCACCGTGATCGGCACCATTGCACTCCAGCCTGGGCAAGAAGAGCAAAGCTCCATCTCAAAAAAAAAAAGAAAAAATTTCCTAGCTGACCATGGAAGGATAACAAATGTGATGAATCTGGCCGGGTGCGTTGCCTCACGCCTGTAATCCCAGCATTTTGGAAGGCCGAGGCAGGCAGATCACTTGAGGTAAGGAGCTCGAGATCAGCCTGGCCAACATGGTGAAGCCTCATCTCTACCAAAAATATAAAAAATTAGCCGGTGTGATGGTGTGCACCTGTAATCCCAGCTACTTGGGAGGCTGAGGGAGGAAAATCGCTTGAACCCGGGAGGTGAGGTTGCAGTGAGCCAAGATCGTGCCACTGCACTCCAGCCTGGGCGACAGAGCGAGACTCCATCTTAAAAGAAAAAAAATGTGATGAATCCATGTGTTATTATTTCCCACTACACTAAGCCATCAATATATCATGATTCTCTATGTGTTCTTCTAACACACAAACACACACCACACACACACTAACACATAATCGTTGCTTTTAATTGAAGAACATTTTCAACACCTCTCAAGTGGCAAAAATCCTGTTTATATTCTTGTCTGCCCCAGTTTATGGCTTCATAAGAATTTTTTCATCTGTTTTTTGAGGCAGAGTCTCGCTCTGTCGCCCAGGCTGGAGTGCAGTGGTGTGATCTCAGCTCACTGCAACCTCCGCCTCCTGGGTTCCAGTGATTCTCCAGCCTTAACCTCCCAAGTAGGTGGGATTGCAGGAGCCCACCGCCAGACCCAGCTAATTTTTGTATTTTTAGTAGAGACAGCGTTTCACCATGTTGGCCAGGCTGGTCTCGAACTCCTGACCTCAGGTGATCTGCCTGCCTCAGCCTCCCAAAGTGCTAGGATTACAGGTGTGGGCCACCGCGTTCCAGCCCAGTTTTAAGAATTTAATCTTCATTTCAAGCACAAAAAGACTTTTTTTTTTTTTTTTTGGCTGGTGGGGCCTCTTTTTTGAACTCTTTAGGGCCAAATCAACCTTTCTTCCTTGATCCCAGGGTGGAGTCAAATGAATCTAACAGACAAACGGCCCAACATCCTTCATGTCACTGCCAACTTCTCATTCAAAGGGGTACTTGGGGTGGCAGGTGGAGTTATAATTATAGCTTAGAAAAAAGCAGCATCAGCAGCTGTTGCTTCTGTTTGTTCCCAGCTATAACTGTCATCAGTGGCTAAACTGGCATAAACAGGCCTCTACAAGTGGAAAAACATTTAACCCCTGTTCTTGTCACACTCTGGGTCCTCTCAGTGGCCAGAGAACAGAAAGAAAATCTGACTGTGCACGAGCGAAGGGTGACACCGGGCGTGCAGCACCGACCTGAAGGCACCTCTTCGGGGGAGCCCGAAATTTGAAGATTCTCTTTCCTGTCGGAGACTACAAACCAAATAAATAGGTTAGTGCCCAGAGTAAACCTATGCATTTTAATTCTGACCTCTACTTGCTGTGATTTTCATTTTCCTGGCAGAGCTTGAAAAGAAGAGTGAACTACTAAATGAAAGAAAGGAAAGTTAATTAAGGACTGTTATTTAAAACTACCGGGAGTCCATGAGAACAAATTATGAAATGGGTTTAATTTATTATGCTCCTCTCCCAATTTTGGCTGTATTCGCACTAGGCAAATAGACAAGGTAAAGATGGAAAAATAAAACCGGTTTTGTGGCATGAGTCCCATCCTTTTGTAATGCCACTTACTTGTGCCAAAAGGCCCTACCTTCTTTATTAAAATCAGTAATGTTGAAAGCTAAGTTTGTGATTTTAGAAAATGCTGTAAACGTAGCTCCAGAGTTTCATTTCCTTAGGGAAAATAGGCAAATCAGAGTTGAATTGTTTTTCCAGCAATGAGTAAAGATAGAAAATTTTCTTGTTTATGATAAAATGTGTGGTGTAGGCTACTTTACAAAAGAAATCTGCTACAGAATTTATTTTTTGTGTCTAGTACAATTCTATCTAAAAGCTTCATGATTTCAGTCTAAGTAGCTCTATAAGACTCTCCTCATAGATCCTTTTGAGAAAAGTAAGATTTTAAATAAATCTCATTTTATTTGCATATGTTCTATCTTAGCCAGAAATTGAGCAAGATTTTCAAAGATTAGCTTTGCGCTGTCTGTTTCAAAACCTGAATATTTAATGTCTTGGTGAAAAGTGGTGGAATTCCAAAGAACTCACCAAAAACAAGGCTTTTGGGCCCAGTGCTCATCCTAACCACATTCATGAAATGGACTCAAGTAGAAAGAGTTGTAAATAATGACCTCATTTTGTTCAACTCCAAAGAGAATGTGAACCATCCCTAAGCATTTATGTACAACTTGTCATGGGGAAACTGCACCATTCTTATTTATCACTATGACCCAACTTTTTGGCTGACTTTTGAAATGCAATGAGTGCTAACGATGCATTTGGACCTCCACTAGAGAGACATCTACATGCAATCAAACCCACCAAAAGTGCCCCATCAATTAAATTCTCACGAGGGCCTTGTTTGTCTCATTTGTTCATTCAAATATATATTGGCCAATGGCTATATAATCTAAAAATAATATTTAACAGTTAAGGCAAGTTTAAGATGTCTAATATTACTCTTCCCAGAGACTGCTTTCCTCCTGCTTTCTGCTAAACTGAGATAATGGTTATCTGAAAGTTCCGAATTATAGAAACTAAGAAAGACAAAACAGAGATATGGCTGACTAGTTGCTGGCTTGAATTTCCTTGATATACAGACATACAGATTTATGCCCTATTTTAAACATTGCTTTTTACTTGTGTTTTGTCTTCTTGCTCTTCTAGAAAAAACTATCCAAGATGACTGTCACTTACTCCAGTAAAGTAGCAAATGCAACTTTTTTTGGATTTCATAGGTTACTCCTCAAGTGGAGAGGCAGCATCTACAAACTACTGTACAGGGAATTTATTGTTTTTGCTGTTCTTTATACAGCAATAAGTTTGGTATACAGGTACTTTTCTTTACATGTCTCCTTAAATGGCCATCAGATATTGTGTAAGATACAGTCTCAAAAATCTGAACCTTTTGATTGCCACTGACTTCGCATTATGGAACTCCTTTTTTGCGTGAGCCTCTCATTTGTCTTCTTCCCCTCAGGACAGATTTTAATCCACCACTAACCATTGTTAGGTTGTAAAATAGACCCTCACTGTTAAGATTCAGGTGGCCTTCATTCCAGCCCCAGTTGTGCCTCGAGACTGTTGCAATAGGCACAAAATGGAAGGATTATCCTTAGATCTTTACTGTGTAAAGACTTTTGAATGGGCAAAGTCCACAGACAATAATTATTTGTGCTTCTGTCAACTTGTCATTCATAGTTGATGATTTGACAGCTTGTAGCAACTACCTATATAATCAACATGTTCATGATTGGTGTATGTCAGGGAAAAGCTTTCCTTCTTTTGGCCTGGAATGAAAATATCTTATCCAGGATGATGCCTGCCACACTTAACAGTACCTCAACTAAAGCAAAGGCCTGTAGAATAATTTATTTTCTTTCCGTTTTCTGAGTTGAGGGTATATTATGTTCACAAAAGGAGGTGCTTATTCTTTATAACATTACAACATATGCCTGTCAGATTGACAGGAAATTTGAGCAATATCAAGTCCAAGAAATATTTTTATGATGAAAAGTTATAGTCTTAATAAAATTTCATCAGTATGATAAAAGGGAAGACTTATGAGATTTTAAAGCTTTTTTTATTAAAATTGAATGCATAAATTTCTTCTCTGGAGGAAGCTAAAATTTAAAACAGGAAAGCTAAAGGTTTTTGAGGCTGTATTTCCATTTTTTCTATGTTCATAGTTTGTTATTTTTCTTCTGCATACAGATAAACAAATTTGTGTTTCATTGCTCTCACATTCTTCCTTGCAGCAACAGGATCTCCTTTGGAAAAGAGGGATATTAATGTAGTTGACTGATAATTATTAAAAGTAAAATAGGTACAGCTATTTTTCCACATGTCAAAACAACCCTTCCAAGCAAGTGTATGCATTGGTATATATCTTGACAAAATATTTTTAGAGGGAAAGTCCTATTAACAACCTCTAATAATTTTTCAGACATGTCATATAATATGATATTATTTTGGCAATTTAGGTAGGTATCACCTAAGCCTTCAGAATATGAAATGGTAAAAGATACAATGGTGTTTCGTGATAATTATCTCATTAGTTCATTTTTACTAATGTGAATTTATTGCTGCTACTTCTGCTAAGAATAGAACAGAATAGCCCTTAGTACAGTTGCAATGTAGCTAGAAATGTTCCTTGGGGCCTCAACTTTTGTTCCAATATCATACTTATACCCCACAACATTTTATGCATATATTTCTTCTAAAGCAGAGGGCTTACATTTATAACAAAAATTATCAGTTCAAGTCATCCTTAAATTTTTAAAGTTCAATTGTAATACCTTATTAAAATAGATCTTTCTATCTTAATCAAAGGTATACCAAGAACTATAGGATGAGTTTGTCAAGAAAATCAAACACATCTATAGAAAAATATAGATGTAGTTTCATTCTCTAAGTCTTTATTAGCTCTATTATAGGTACATAATTATTCCTAACAAAAATTATAAGGAGGAACCAGATTCATTAATTTGATTACATTTATTTCTATTTTTGGAGGAATTTGACAAAATAATTTCTGAAATACTTTCTAGCTATTAAAATTTCTACATCTATTAGCCAAATATTTTTTCTTTGGCCAACTATTAATATGAACCATTTTATTATTAACTAAGTATGAGGCAATTTGTTAAGTGGTTATATATATGTATACATATATTATTTAATCTTTACAATGCCTCTTATATATAGATATTTTTATCCCCACTTACAGATGAGAAAACTGAGACTCAGAGAGTTCAAAAATATGCTCAAAGTCCAAATTCATAAGTGTCAGACTTGGAATTAAAATCTGGCTTTGTCTGACCTTAAAAAAGGTCCATGCTTTCCACATTTAAATCCTCTTTGACCATGTCTATTTGAACATCAGAAACCATTCTGGCTGTAATTGTCATCAGCATAACCCTGATAGACCTCTGCAACAATCTGGTACCTCTCCTGTCAGCTTTCCCTGACTTCAGTAATTCTAACACCTCTTCCAAAGCTGGGGCAGGAACTCCAAGCTCACCCTGTACCCCACACACCTTCTTTGTCAGGACCAGCTCCCAACAGCTCTCTATCTGCAATCTAATTGGTTGCTTACTGTTATCTCATTATCCCTTTGCTTCCTTTATCAAAGTTCTACTGACCCAAATGAGCCTTTGATGCTTGTTATAATGGATCTTTCCTTGAGTTCCTTCCTCCTTTGGAACAGCTACACTCGTCGATTTATTCAAATTCATCTGTTTGGCTTTCCTTCCTGTATTTTGGTCATTATTATTAGTTTGCCTTAAAACATTTCTCCAGACTCTGAATCTCTTCCCTATAATGTAAATATCAATAATAGTCTCATTAAATGCACTTATGTTTAACAATACCAGAAAATGGGGTTTGGGCAGGTTGGGTTAGATCTATAATATAAATTTTGAGAGAGTGACTAAATTTAATAATGAAAGTTTTCATTTCTCATTGTTAAATTTGTTTTAGACTCCAAACAATTCTGGGCTTTAAAATGAACAGTTATAATATCCCTTGAAGGGATATTATACACATGATAATCAAGAATGTGCTAAGTTGCATATTCAGGAGAAATATCAAGGTGTCAAATTCAGTGTTATTATTTAACAATTACTTAATAATGCTAATTCATACTTAATCAATAATACACTCTTTTTAAGGTATTCCTGATGAATAATTGAAAACTGAACTATTTTGTAACATACCTTGCTCTAAATCCAATGAATCAATCATATAAAACTTTTAAAATATAAAGTTTTTAAAATAAAATGATTAATTAATCCCACTATTTAATAGCCAATCATGTTTACAAAATGTTAGCACTTGAGACATTAAGCAATTAAAAAGCTTTTGAGACACATCAGTTTAAGAAAAAAGGAAAAAATTATTGATCCTTCAAAAATAAAAGATTATTTGTGCTTAATTGTTTGCACTTAATGTCACTTGCAAAGCAGGTGCAGAAGTATAATATCATAAAGGGCTGTGCATTTTATTTTTGCTCCAGATTGTTACTTACAGGAGTCCAAAAACGTTACTTTGAAAAATTATCAATTTACTGTGACAGATATGCTGAACAAATTCCAGTAACCTTTGTGCTTGGTAAGTATAGGTCACACGCAGATTGCAGCCACATAGCTGTCTCCGTTAGGATGACACCGATGACTCTGCATGGGAGTGTTTCCAAGCTGAGAGGCATGCCTGAAAAGCCACCGCTTGCAATAGAACCAGAATCATCCATAAGGTTTGCCTTCACGGCTGCTTTTGCGAAATTAACACCAAACAAGTTTGAGGAAATAATCTGCTATTGGACATTTAAGCTTTCTCTTCACTAACTCTCCATTTTTGCAGTCAATATTTGAGATCTAATACCCACTTACAGGGTGCTTAGGCATTGCCAGGCACAAATGACATTTTTTTTCTGGAAGGCAAAATCAGAAGATATGGATAATAATATATTTTTGTCCTCCAACCTCTAAAAAGGCTAAAATTCAGCTAAAAGCATCAGTGTCACCAACGTGTCTGCTGTAAGAAACTGCTTTATAATTTCCTGTTATTCTACAGGGTTTTATGTTACTCTGGTAGTGAACCGATGGTGGAACCAGTTTGTGAATTTGCCCTGGCCAGACAGGCTAATGTTCCTCATCTCTAGCAGTGTTCACGGAAGCGACGAGCACGGGCGCCTGCTTAGAAGGACGCTGATGCGCTACGTCAATCTCACCTCCCTGCTCATCTTTCGCTCGGTGAGCACTGCTGTGTACAAAAGATTTCCCACAATGGACCACGTGGTTGAAGCAGGTACTATGAATGGCTTTTCCTTCCATGGGCTCTTCTCAGCTGAGACAGGACCTCCAGAATTCCTTTGAAAATTCTTTATGTTTGTTTATTCACTCAAGAAACATTTATTGGTTGGGCGCGGTGGCTCATGCCTGTAATCCCAGCACTTTGGAAGGTGGAGGCGGGCGGATCATCTGAGGTCAGGAGTTTGAGACCAACCTGGCCAACATGGCGAAACCCCATCTCTACTAAAAATAGAAAAAATTAGCCGGGCGTGGTGGCGTGTGCCTGTAATCCCAGCTACTGGGGAGGCTGAGGCATGAGAATCACTTGAACCCGGGAGGCGGAGGCAGAGGTTGCAGTGACCCGAGATTGCAGCACTGCACTCCAGCCTGGGCCACAGAGCCAGACCTGTCTCAAAAAAAAAAAAAGAAAAAAGAAAAAAAAAAGAGAGAGAGAGAGAAAGAAAAGGAAAGAAAAGAAAAAGAAACATTTATTGATTACCTACTATGTGCCAGAAGCAAACTAAGAGACAAAGATGAATAAGACATGGTTCCTGCCCTCAAGTTTACTTCAGAGGTGGGGGAGAGAAAGTGGCAGATAGTAACGTTGCCTTAAGGTAAACATAATAATTATCATATTTATTAAACAATCTGGCTGGGCGAGCTGTTTGGAAGGCCCAGGCGGGTGGATCACCTGAGGTCAGGAGTTCCAGACAAGCCTGGCCAACATGGTGAAACCCTGTCTCTACTAAAAATACAATAATTAGCTGGGCTTGCTGGCTCCCACCTGTAATTCCCGCTACTCGGGAGGCTGAGGCAGGAGAATCGCTTGAACCTGGGAAGTGGAGGTTGCAGTGAGCCAAGATCATGCCATTGCATTCCACCCTGGGCGACAAGGTCCCCATCAGTCCCCAAAAAATAAATAAATAAAAATAATCTGTCACATTAACTTACAGTTTTCCAGCACTATACGGTTTGTCTCCTTTATAGCTATTTCATTTGGACTTCAAGAAAACATGAAAAAGGTAGAAAATAGATTCAGAAAGGTTATAACCTGCCCTGAATTACACAGCTGATCAGTGGAAAAGCCAGAATTAAAATTTAGGCTCCAAACTCCTAAGTTAATACTTTCTAATAGATTCTGGTAGGAACTGGCAATGTCAGTTTCATCTAGGCAGACACTGAGAGGTGACAGTCAAAAGCTGTTTTAGTATGGACCTCTTGTCTCTTGTGCCTCAAAGGAGATGTAGATAGTTAAAGGATGATTCTCTTTGGTGTATAAATATTTAGCAAAGAAGCTGTTAAGTCAGCCTTCAGTAGGGCGAGGATTACATGAGATAATTCTTGGCACATATGGATGAGAAGCGTGAGGTGATTCTGCCTTCACATTGAGTCCAGTCTCACATTAGTTTGCAGTATTTAGTCTCCTTTTCTGAAATGTCCTGAAAAATAGATATTTTCGGATTTTGTTTGTTTTGGAGTTTGTGTTGGCTTCTTTTGTTGTTGTTGTTTTTGTTTTGCCTTCTTAAATGGCTAATACAGATAGTAACTACTGAAGTCAAAATAAAACTGTAGAGATGAATGTCTATATTTCACATTTTATTTGAGAAGAAAGAACTCCAGTTTGAGGCATACACACAGACCAGATGGTATTCAGTATGTCCAAAATACAAAGAGAAGGTTGGAGGTTTTATAAAAAGACAGAAATGTTACATATTGCTCTTTGAGAAAGTTCATTGGCACTAGTAAGTTTCTGGGGAGCTGGCAAGTTTTGACTGGTGAGTGATGGAGGTGGGTAAAATTAGTCTTCAAGTTGCAGCAGATCATTTCAGCAACTATAAAACTGGTTTCAGGTAATAGCAGGCAGTTTCAGCAACCAGGCCTGCAAAGAATATTTTTTTTGAGACAGAGTCTTGCTCTGTGGCCAGGCTGGAGTGAAGTGGCGCTATCTTGGCTCACTGCAATCTCTGCCTCCTGGGTTCAAGCGATTCCCCTGCCTCAGACTCCCGAGCAGCTGGGACTACAGGCGCACACCACCACGCCTGGCTAATTTTTTGTATTTTAGTAGAGACAGGGTTTCACCATGTTGGCAGGATGGTCTCAATCTCTTGACCTTGTGATCCGCCCACCTCGGCCTCCCAAAGTGCTGGGATTACAGGCGTGAACCACCATGCCTGGCCTCAACTGCTTTTTCCTGGTGGCTTCTTGACTCTGTTTTAGTTGGGTACGACAAGAATGACCCAATTATGTTATCAAATTTCACAATGATTAAGAACACGGAGTAAGGGTTTGAAACTTTATCTCACAGCTTACTAGCTACATGACTTTGTCTGAGTTAGTTAACCATTCTGTTCCTCAGTTTCCTTATCCATAAAATGGACTTAAAGTAACTTATAATAGCACCTACCTCATATATCCCATAGGCTTGTTATGAGGATTAAAAAAGTTAGCATTTGCAAAATGTTTAGAGCATTCCTGGCACACAGTAAGTGCTGCATAATTTCTTGCCATTGTAATGAAATTACATCTCAAACAACAGCATAACATAGCACAGTAGCCACTTTAGAAGACTTGTTATTAATATAATATCCCAGGTCTTTTTTATCTACTTTGATCAAGAGGTTGTGAATGTCAAGGTTGAAATAAGGAAGAAGGGTGTAGATGATGTTGTTAGAGACGCAGAGTGAGATATGAGAAAGTAATGGGTGCCAGGAGTTGGTTAAGGGGGATTCAGGGGGAGGGTCTGAAGGCCTGGCACATGTACAGGTATATGATAATGTAAAATCAGTAGGAACTTTAAAAAAAAATTAATTGCCATCCTTCCTCCAAATATGAAAGTAGAATACTGTTTCAGAATGACCTAGTTAAAAATGCTACTAGACAGCTCAATTTTATCTTACCTTAATGTCTCCAGGAACAAATAGATTAAGAATTACCGTCTCTAAGAAAGACCTAAAAACAAACAAGAAACGTATGACCTATTCCAAGTTGATGAGCTAAAGTTTACTTGGATGAACAGAGGTGATATTTCTCTAGTTCTGACGCATCCTTGAAATGAAGAGAGTGCATTCTGACAGGAATCAGATGCCGGGTCCAATCCTCAAAGCAAATCTCATCTTCTTAGTGTCACCTTCATATTAAAAGCACACCAGGAAGAAGCCAGGTTGGCTGGCAATGGAGAGGCCTCTGGGGCCTCTGGTCAGACATGAGCTCCGAGGACTGAGCTGTGCTCAGGTCTGAGGGGCAAGTAGATATAGGGAGGCAAATAGGAAAATGACGTGATTTCATTTCCTTTGAGTGTATTTTTCAGAATACAAAGGCCCACTCCCTCTCAAAATTGTACAGATGTCTGCCATGTACTTGCATTCAGACTTTTCCCTTTCCGAGGCATGTGGAATACTGAAATACTTCTATCTGCTCAGCTACCAATGTTTCTGCCATTCCAAGGGAATCTCAAAATGAGTCCTTCACTTCTGGATGTACATTTAAACTAGTCTCTAGGAGTGATCCACAGACCCACAGGCCCTCTACATCTTGAATAACTTGAGTTTATTTATTTAAAATGCATATTCCTGGGTCCCACCCACGTCAGTCCCTCTGAATTATTATAGAACCTAATAGAACCTTTGGATGTACGGCCTAGGAATCTGCAGTGAAACATGCTCCTGTGTTGGTTTTTTTAGTACCCCAAAGTTTGAGAAGTATTGCATCTTTTCTGGGATGCTTATTTTTTAAACCCTTTTTCTCACTCCTGGGGCAAAAGGCTTTGGCAACCACCAACTCATTACTGATAACAAAGCAGCAGCAATTAAGAAAGGATGGATTCGAGGTTTCAGCTTGAGGGTCATGAATTACAAAGAAGAGCTTTGAGGAAGCAGTCTGGTGGGAGGCTACTGTATAAGGGATCTGAATTCCACCTGCTTGGATGTAACAAGCATTGTTCTGACTTAAACTTTTTGGTTGGTTTGTCTGAAGCGGATGAAGGGAGAAGAGAATTGACAGAGGAGCTGTGATGAGGTGAAAGCCTTTCCAAGGGTCCTGTGACACAATCACTGATTATCTCAGTGAAAAGGTCCCAGTTGCTCTCATTAATTCCTAAGTATTTTCTCAAAAGGCAGAAAAGAGGTAGTAGGTACATCTTGTCCCCACAGGAATATATTGTGCTTCTGGTAAGTAATTTTGAAGATAACTACTTTCTTCTCTTGGTGCTTGTAAATACTGGATAAGATGTTTTGATTCAGTATAAGACCATACTATACGCAAGCATTGTGTGTTAGGCGGCAGGGCAAAGGTTCCAAGCCACTATCCTCTAAGCCAGGAGAGACGCTTCGGAGGCCTGTCTTCCTGGCTGCCCCAGGCCGGCACCCGCTGTCACCGGCAGCGCTGACTCACTGAACTTCCTGCTGCTTTCCCCAGCAGAGAGGGCTGACTCAGAGTCTGCACATGGGGTCTGCTTCCAAGTTCTTCCAACTGGGCATATGCCTCCGCCACTCTCTGACTGTCCTTTGCCTGTGCCAAGGTTTCTGGGAAGAACAGGAAGTTCAGGGATGGCGGAAAATGTTTGGCAGATTCCCTGAGTCCAAAGCCGGAGCACCTGCTCCTGCCTGAGGGCAGAGAGGACTGGTAAGTAAAGCACTGAGGGCCCCAAAGGGGTGGGGACAAGGTTAAGGGCACGAGGGACCTTCTTGTCAGTTGAATTCTCTACATAAAATCACCTGTAAGAAAAAGTACATGTTCTCAAACTTCAGGGTGCATTACATATTGTTAAAATCAATATTGCTAAAAATTTGGATCCCACGATACCACTCCCAGAGATTCTGACTCAGTAGGTCTGGAATGGGCTCCAGGAATCAATGAGTTGAACAAACTCCTGGAGACTCTGAGGCTGGTGGTCCCTGGCTTGTGCTCTGGGAAGCAATGGGCTTTGAGGCAATCAGTTTCCCTCCAGCTTCTCTTTCTTCTGCAAGGGTTTTTGCCTCCATAGATTCAGTGCTGGCCAGAAGGAAATAAGCGAGAGGGCCAAGAGTGAGGACCAGCACCTCCTTCTGAAGCATCTGGCAATTTCTTGGCTGGCGCTGGTTGAACTAGGTCACATACCTGCTCATCCTTGAACTTCTCTTGCTTTTAAGTTGGACAGTCAAGTTACATTATTCTGAAAAATAACAAGACCAAAACACATGCTGCTGGGGAAATATATATAATTTGATGCTACAGGTTAAATTTCTCAAATTAAAAATAAAAAAGTTTTTGTTTCTGCTTATATGAAAATAAAAATACAACAGTGGAATTCGGAATAATGTCTATTATGCTGAAAAGTCCCTGAACTGGTCTGTGATCAGTTATTTATCAGAGAAACTGCAACAGTCTCTGTTACTTTTGCCTATTGGCTACAAATCTGCTCTGGAAAATTCCAGTCATTCCAATCACCTGCCCTGGGAGATGTCATTCATTCCAAGTCAAGTCAGATGCACAATTCCAGATCCTGGCTGAGTCAAGTGATGACCTTAGTTGTGTGCATATAGTATGGTCTCATACTGAATCAAAACATCTTATCTAGTATTTACAAGCATCAGGAGAGGAAAGTAGTTATCTTCAAAATTACTTACCAGAAGCACAATGATATGTAATAGGAAATTATATACATTCCTCTTAAAGAAACATTACCAAGCTGGTGCTAGAACTATTACGCCTTTGCTCATGCAACAAAGGTTTATTGTGTGTACAATATATGCCAGGCACTGTGCTGGGCACTGGGACTACCCTTATAAGCAGAACAAATATGGTCCCCATACTCAAGGATTAGTAAAATTTACTACAAATCTTATCTTAAATTAATCATTGTCATAAACAAGCACAAATATATTTACAGTTAAACTTTACATCTCTGCATTGCAATTCTCTCTCTCTAAAATAAATAGTTTCTGTCTGTATTTAGTAGTTCATAAGAGTAGTTATAAGACAGTAACCTCTGAGGAAAAAAACACCCTTTAATTTTCTTAAAGCCTTGGAGTCTTTTTTTTTTTTTTTTTGAGACACGTTCTCACTCAGTTGCCCAACCTGGAGTGCAGTAGCACGGTCATAGCTTACAGTAACCTCAAACTTCTGGGCTCAAGCCATCCTCCTGCCTCAGCCTTTTGAGCAACTAGGACTACAGATGTGCGCCGCTGTGCCTGGCCAATTTACTTATTTATTTGTTTAATCCCTTTTTTTCCTTTTTTTCTTTTTTGATACAGAGTCTCACTATGTTGCCTATGCTGGTCTTGAACTCCTGGCCTCAAGCAATCTTCCCACCATAGCCTCCCAAAGGGCTGGGATTTCTGGTGTGAGCCACCACACCTGGCCTGCCCTGGAATCTTAATGTAAAGATTCTTGACTGTCTTCTATGACTACAGGGAGCCTGATGAGACTCCACTGGAATTTTCAGTGACACTTATGGTTAACAGACATTAATATAACCAAGCAAGCCACCAGCTGTCAATGGATGTTGAGATAAAAGTTCTAACTTCAGATGCTCTGGCTCTAAGTCTAGCCCTATAAATGGAACTCAGGTCTGGGTCACTTACTGCTTAAAAGCCAAACAACTCAGGAACTTTGGTAAAAGGAACGTTAGCTTTATTTGAGAAGTCAGCAACCAGGGGAAGGCAGTGAACTGGGTTGAAAGGCCACCTTTCAGAATTGTGCCTCTAGGTAAAGGATTTCTAAGGGAAATTAAGAGAAATGAAGATCAAAACAGTCTTGTGAAATGTGAGCAGTTTCAGTCAGCTGGGCAGTTAATCATTGCTTTCTTGGTGAAAGTTTTGCGACCTTCTGCAGGTGCCATCAGCCTATTCTTACAGGCTAGTCAGCCCATTCCCAGAGCTGTTGGTCAGCATATTTTCCTTCTTTCTTTTTTTCTTTTCTTTCTTTTTTTTTTGTTTTTTTGAGGCAGAATCTTGCTCTGTTGCCCAGGCTGGAGTATAGTGTTGAAATCTTGGCTCACTGCAACCTCTGCCTCCCCAGTTCAAGTGCTTCTTCTGCCTCAGCTGCCCAAGTAGCTGGGATTACAGGCACAGGCCACCACACCCGGCTAATTTTTGTATTTTTAGTAGAGACAGGGTTTCACCATATTGGCCAGGCTGGTCTCGAACTCCTGGCCTCAAGTGATCCCACCTCGGCCTCTCAAATTACTGGGATTACAGGCGTGAGCCACCGAGCCCAGCCAGCATATTTTCTTTTATCTCTGTTGAAGGTCCTGTTTTCTTGAGGCTGTTTTTTGGGACTAATGTACAAACTCAAGGAAAACAATAATATTATTCAAACAAGCAAGCTTTTCTCTAACATGGAATTAATACTGTTAGAACCACATTTGCGTTTCTGGCACAGACAGATCATTTAATCTGTGATCTTCTCCTCTCTCACTAGGTAAACTAAAATGACTTTTATATAACATATTATGTAACATTCACAAAATTAATTGAATCTGGTATAACATTTCTGCCCTGGGTGGGCTGTTTGTTTTTTTTTTTTTCCTGATCCATTACACAGCTCTGGGGTTCCTTGGTCTCTGAATCTCCACTGCCTTGTGTTACAAGAGTGAGAGCCAAGGGGATAGTGGTATTCACAGCTGTGCCAGTTTTTCCTCTGTTGGCTGAACTTTTAGAGGCTGAGTAAGTCACCCCTCTGTAGTCTCACATGATGAGCCCGGAACAGACAGAATGTCATCCTGTGAGTGAAACTTGACTCACCTATGTGTAGTTGCTCTGCACATGAGAGAAAGTGCATGCAAAACTAGCCCTTCTTGAATTAATAGCATGGATAGGCAGTGTCGGTTGGTCAGTGTTTGAAGGTTCCCCCCACATTTCTGTCTCAGGAGTTAAATAAAGGCTATCCACTCAATGTTTCTCAAAGTATGGTTGCAGACCACATTCACTGATTAGCCAGGGTGCTTATTTAAACTGCAGATTCCTAGGCAACCTAGGGAATCAGAATCTAGATCTAGGGCTTAGGACCTAGAAATTGACATTTTAAACAGGCTCCCTAGAAGCACTGCAGGATGTTTGACCCAGACTGAGAATGCTGAAATGATCAGCACTAGGGCAGTTGTTCAACCTAAACTTTGCTGCATGTTGGAATCTCTGGTGATCTTTTAAAAATTCTGACGCCTGACTCCCATTCTCAGATATTAGGATTCATTAGGTATGTAGAGCAACCTGGGCATCAGGATTTTTCAAAACTCCCCAGACCATTGTAATGTATAGCAGAGTTTAGGAACAGCTGCACTAGAACACATCAATTAATTCCTCCGATTTCATCTGCAAATTGCCTCAGATCTATTCTACCCAGGGCAAATAAAATTCTGGGCCACTGTGCAGATGAGGATTTAAAAGCACTGATTTCTTTGTATGTTATTTCTTGTGTGTGATTATGGAGAAGGCAGTGAATTACCAGATGGGATACTAATTTATGGACAAGGATATGGGTAACTAGAGATTTGCTCATATCAATATAATAGAGGAGTGTCTGTCTCTATTCCTTATTGCTACTCCCAGAAACTGATTTTACTCCACCGTAGCCTATTTCAGGCTTTTCCAGCTGTGGTTTGTAACTCATTATGGGATTCTTAAATCAGGTTAACGGGTTGTAACCAGCATTTTTAGTGGAATGGAATGGAGAACAATAGAATAGAATAGAATAGAATAGAATAGAATAGAATAGAATAGAATAGAATAGAACAGCAGAAAGCACATCATGTGGCAGGGCCAATAACTGTTTTGTGAACAACATATATCTTACTATGGTTTATGGTAAAAAAACAAACAAACGAAAAAACCTGGTTGACATCCTGCCCTGCATGATGTTGTTGCAATGTGATTTCATCCCTCTCTCAATCTCATTTTGCTCCCCCCTTGATTTTCCCAATTGACAGGGATTTCTAAACCTCTTCCATTGAATGGAAAGGACAGCTGTAGCTGAAGCTGGTGGCTTCATTCCATTCATTTGGAAAACACAGAGATAAAAACAAGCCAGGCACGTTGCACTCTTCCTGAAAAAGTGTCATCCCTTGGAGAAGGGCTCAGATGCTGAATACACAACTCTCTCTTTCAGAAAGAACTGGCATGAAACCCATTCTGCCTTCAAGTTTTGAGATGCAGAGCTTTTAGTTCCTCTGCTAATAGAGCCTCGTTTGAATACTCTGCTTGAAAGGCAAAAGACATCTGCCTCAACTTCAATCAAGGAAAAATAGAGCAACTGTACAGCAGGCAGAATCTCTATGATGACTGGAATTTTGTCTATCAATGGATGTAATTAATCCTTTGGCTCGAGGGCAATAAAATTTTGTCTTAAAGTAGCAGATCCTGCTCCATCAAACCACAACTCAATTGGGAGTAAATGCAAACATGTATCTATATTGAGAGATAGATTTTACTCTGATTAGAAAGATGAAGGAGGGATTTGGGGATAAACAATATGAAAATTGCTGAGCAGAGCTGAGCCAGCCAGAAGAAAAAGCGATAGCAAGAGAAACTGTAGGCAGATGCAACGGCAGGATAAAATAGCTATGCCAGGGGTGTGATGGGGCCTGAGGAGAGCATGGCATGGAGACAGACACGTGCAGGGAACCAAGTGGTGGGAGGACAAGCCCACTCAGAGTGTTGCCGAACTGTAGCAAATCAGTAACTATAATTAGCACAGCCTCAGCAATGACAATAATGATCATATTCTGAAAAAAATATTGGTCTCTGCTTAAAATGGCTTGAAGTCCTGATGAGGGTGACATTCCATTTCATAACAAATACTTTTGGAATGGACTTGACCAACAACCTAGAGATTTTCTTTCAGTTGACCGACTTTGATTTCCAAAGGTGGAGTTACTTTTGTGAACCCCCAAAATCTGAGACAGGTCTCAGTTAATTTAGAAAGTTTATTTTGCCAAGGTTGAGGATGTGCACCCGTGACACAGCCTCAGGTGGTCCTGATGACGTGTGCCCAAAGCGGTCAGAACAGTTTGGTTTTATGCATTGTAGGAAGACATGAGACATCGATCAACATATGTAAGATAAACATTGGTTCAGTCTGGAAAAGCCAGAGATGACTCAAAGTGGGGAGGGGGCTTCCGGGTCATAGGTAGGTAAGAGACAAATGGTTGCATTCTTCTGGGTTTCTGATTAGTCTCTCCAAAGGAGGCAATCAGATATGCATTTATCTCAGTGAATGGAGCAATGACTTTAATAGAATGGGAGGCATGTATGCCGTAAGCAGTTCCCAACTTGACTTTTCCCTTTAGCTTAGTGATTTTGGGGACCCAAGATATTTTCCTTTCACACTTTGGATAAGTAAGATGTGTGACCCTGCAAGGAATAACAAAAATTATTCTGCTTATATATTCTTAGAGGATACATTAATGTCTCAGTGATTGTCATTCATCTTTCACAGCACCCAGCAAAATACTCAATAAATTTGTGCTAAAAACAAAATCACCAGCTCTTCTTGCTCTACTTGTCCTCTTTCAATCTCTTGCTTTAGTGTTTGCACCAAATAAACCCTCACTCTGCATATTTGCTTTCTGCTTAGAAGCTAAGAAAGGACTTGCTAGCACAATTTGATCCATGCTTCTGAATAAAAAATAACCAGAGATAAAGTTATTCTTTGGTCAAGTGACAGAGATTGAAGCCAATATATAAATGAGATCATTTTTTAAAATTGCACTATATGTCTCAAGAATATAACTGTTAGACAATTGATATGGAATATGTGAGAATAGGCTACAGCAAGTCTTTAAGCATAAAGCCAAGACAGATCAAGTTTATCTATTAACTTCATCCAATAAGATTTAACTGGCCAGGCACAGTGGCACATAGCTGTAATCCCAGCACTTTGGGAGGCCAAGGTGGGCAGATCACTTGAGCCCAGGAAGTTCAAGACCAGCCTGGCAACATGGTGAAACCCAGTCTCTACAAAAAATACAAAAATTAGCCCAGCATAGTGGCATGCGCCAGTAGACCCAGCTACTCAGGAGGCAGAGGTGGAAGGATTGCTTGAGCCCAGGAGGTTGAGGCTGCAGTGAGCCAAAGATCACACCACTGCACTCCAGTCTGGATGACAGACGGAGACTCTGTCCCATTAAAAATTGAAAAAAAAAATTTAATCATGCTCTGCAATTCTTTAAAAAACAAACAACAAAACAGATTTTTTAGATTGTGCAACAACTCTGAGATGCACTGAGAAACAAGAAGAGAATCACCAAGCTCATTTTTATTTTACACTTCCAGGGAGAGTACCATTCTCCAGGCATGGAGAGAACCCTTCTAAGCTAGTATAAATAACCCAAGTGTTATCTAAAACTAGTCTCCTGTTGGTAAATATTGGCTTTGTAGTTGTTACTTTGTTTATTTCAAATCCTGAATAAACAGAACCTTCAGTTAGTGGGACAGTGATTTTCAAACACCACTATGTGTCAGAATTTTCTGCACAGCTTGGTAAATATGCAACTGCCTAGACCCAATTCTATTAAATCACCCAGGAAAATTTAAAAGAATGCTGATGCCTGGCCTCATCCTAGATCAATTGAATCAGAATCTCTAAGGATATAAGACCCAGCCATTGGTATTTTCTTCTTTTTTTTTTTTTTTTTGAGACGGAGTCTCACTCTGTCACCCAGGCTGGAGTGCAATGGCACAATCTCGGCTCACTGCAACCTCTGCATTCCCGGGTTCAAGCAACTCTCCTGCCTCAGCCTCCCAAGCAGCTGGGATTACAGGTCCCTACCACTACACCCGGCTAATTTTTGTAATTTTAGTAGAGACTGGGTTTCACCATGTTGGTCAGGCTGGTCTCGAACTCCTGACCTCAAGTGATCCACCCGCCTCGGCCTCCCAAAGTGCTGGGATTACAGGCGTGAGCCACCACGCCTTGCTGCCATTGGTATTTTCTAAAAGTCCCCTTATGAGATTCTAAGGTGCAGACTTGGGTTGAGAACTCCTGCCCTACTGAGTCTGATTTAGTAGTCAGGGTCGGGGTCCAGGCCTCTCCATATTTAATAGATATCACAGGTGATTCAGACCTATGGCCTTTGGATCTTATTCTTAAGAACAACGGCCTAAGTCACATCAAAGATCTAGAGAACACCAAAGCTCTATAAATTGATGACTCTAAAAATGGGCATACCTCACTCCTCCTTTGACATTTTTTTTACTGAAACACTACCTCTTAAATAAAATTTGGCCTGCATCATAAGGAGGGAGGATTTTTTTAATTTATTTATTAGAGATGAAGTCTTGCTATATTGCCCAGGCTGGTCACAAACTCCTGGCCTAAGTAATCCTCCTGCCTGGGCCTCCCAAAGTGCTGGGATTATAGGCATGAGCCACTGCACCCGGCAAAAGGATTACCTTAAATAGGACAACCAGATTTGTTAACTGATTACAGATGGTTAAAGATAGAAAAATGTGTTATATTAGGGCAAAAGTTGATTTTCGTCTGAATGTAGTATCAGAATTCCATAAGCAAATGATTGCATTTCTGAGAAAAAAAAACTCAAAAATTAATATCTAATAAAAATCAGTTTTAGAAGTAAGTTTTAATTCAGAAAACACTATTTATATTAAATCATAATTAACATTTAAAAGCTACTTAAAGAGCCAAGGGGGTAAATACCAGGAGAGTCATTACAGCATTATTTTTAGTAGCAAAAAAATAAAAAACAACTTAAATGTCTTAAATGTCTATTCAAAAAGGAACTAGCTAAATAAAATATTATATACTATTAACTATTAATTAATGTTAATATATAGAGAGCAGCCATTAAAAGGAATGCTGCTGCTCTCTATATATTAATTTTTTAAATCTTCAAGATATACCTGAAAAATAGAAGCAAATGGCAGATACATATGTAGTATAAAATCATTTGTGTTTTTAAAAATAGGCCTGTATGAAAATCCATGAGATTTCTCTGGAAAGATACACAATAAACAGATCATCGTGATTTCCTCCAGGGAGGGAAATTTTATGGCTGGGAAAAGGAGACTTTCTCCACTAACAGTCCTTTGGCCCTTTGGGATTTTTGTACCATTTGAATTATTCAGTCAAAATTTTTAAAAAGAAAAGATCGGCTAGGGGCGGTGGCTCACGCCTGTAATCCCAGCAATTTGGGAGGCCGAGGAGGGCGGATCACGAGGTCAGGAGATTGAGACATCCTGGCTAACATGGTGAAACCCCGTCTCTACTAAAAATACAAAAACTTAGCCGGGCGTGGTGGCAGGTGCCTGTAGTCCCAGCTGCTCGGGAGGCTGAGGCAGGAGAATGGCCTGAACCCTGGAGGCAGAGCTTGCAGTGAGCTGAGATCGCGCCACTGCACTCCAGCCTGGGTGACAGAGCAAGACTCCATCTAAAAAAAAAAAAAAAAAGATCAAGTGTAAACTGTAAGTTTTAAAGTGCATCTTGTTGCAAACAAACCCTGGTATATAGCAGGCCTTCAATAAATGTTTATTAAATAAACCTGTTACCTTATTCCTCTTATTCAGTCATTCAATCTCCCCTTCCCTTGGTGTTTGGGGAGGGAGGAGTAGGCAGAGGAAAATTAAAGTTTCACATAATATACCTTAGTGCTTTGTGGGTGCTAAGTGTGTGCTAAGCGTTATGCTAAATAACATCTTGACACATGTTCATCATCTCAGGTAATTCTACAACATCCCTGTGAAGCAAATATTATCTCTCTTTTACAGATGAGAAAATTGAGGCTCAGAGAGTTCACTGCAAGCCCAAGCAAATTGCATTTTACACACACACACACACACACACACGCATGCATACACACATGCACACACACACACCAAGAAACCCTTTTTTTGGGGCAGGGGAGACAGTCTCGCTCTATAGCCTGGGCTGGAGTGCAGTGGCACGATCTCAGCTCACTGCAACCTCCGCTTCCTGGGTTCAAGCGATTTTCATGCCTGAGCCTCCCCAGCAGCTGGGATTACAGGCGTGTGCCACCATGCCCGGCTAATTTTTGTATTTTTAGTAGAGATGGGGTTTCACCATGTTGGCCAGGCTCGTGTTGAACTCCTGACCTCAAGTGATCCACCCACCTTGGCCTCCCAAAGTGCTGGGATTAAGGGCGTGAGCCACTGCACCCTGCCACAAAGAAACAATTTTAAAGTATGTGCAAAATGCTATGGGGACGATGAACATTAATATACTCTTTGCCCTTCAAAAGGGTCATAGTAAGGGAAACATTTATGTGTAATATTACTATGATGCAAGCCAAGAGCGAGTACCATGTGGGAACTTTAAAGGGAAGAAATCCCTCAGGAAAGAGAAAGAAGGACTCAAGGAAGGCTTCAGAGAGGAGGACATGATTAAGTAGGACTTGGAAAGGAGAGATCAGGAGAAAAGTCATGTGAGTCATGTGTTCGGCACTATGCCAAGTGCTTTATATACGTTATCATATTTTATTATTTTAATCGTAACAATTCCAAGTATTATGGTTCCCAACTTTAGATGACTAAACCAAAACCTAAAGAAGAAATTTCCCCAAATGTTCTAGTTCACATTTAATGTCTCCTTACCTCCTAATGGCCTCCTCTATCAGGGATTTTATATAACTTGTGGGTGTGCATGTATATGTATGTGTGTGTGCATGTGCGCTCACACACACACATTCCTTAACTCTAATGCAAGTATAAACTACTTGAGACAGGAAGCTTTATTCCATATTTCTTTAATATCCCCTCATTATATGCTTTTATATAGATGCTGAAATATGGTAACGTATTAGTGTCAAACTAAGTCTGTATACCTACCGATTTTTATTTTTTTGTAAAGGTTTTATGACAACAGATGAAAGGAAATTATTCAACCACCTCAAGTCTCCTCATCTGAAATATTGGGTTCCATTCATCTGGTTTGGAAATCTTGCAACTAAAGCCCGGAATGAAGGTAGAATCAGAGACAGTGTTGATCTGCAATCATTGATGACTGTAAGTATATCATAAATCATAAGAAAAATACGCTAATTAGAGACCAAGAAGGACCTGGATATAACACGTTAGACCAGGAAGAGTCAGCTTTGTTCAGTCCTGGTTCCAGAGGAACTGGAAAGATTGGACTAGTGTCAGACCTCTCAACATGCAGGACAGAGGTGGTACACAGGTTAAACTCAGGTTGCTTGGAAATGGTTCCTTGGAAGCTGCGTTTTAAACAGAATCATGCTTTGTAATAGGCTCTGTAAGAAAGTATTCCTTGATTGATTAGCCAAGGGTCGCCAAGGGCTCGAAAAGCTATGGTGCCCATGTAGTATATTTGCCATACCTGGCTCCAGGATCCTTGAAAAAAACCTGGAGGAGAAATAAACCTCCCCAGCCTAATATTTCCCCAAAACTGGAATATCGCGAGGTTAAGCCAGCCTTTCAGATACTCTAGTAAGTAAAATAGTATTTTCATTAATCAAAATAACCCTGAAATCATCTGAAAAAAATTTTTTTTATATAAGGGCTGGGTATATTTGTGCCATGACAGTCCCCTCCCTGGATTAGGCTAACGGAAGTGAATTGTTTAAAAATAGCGCCCAAATTGATGTGAACTCTTTTCCCTAGTCTTCCATAATAACTTTGTGCAATCGATGAAAAAAATCAAAGACTCCTGTCCTTCCTGCTTCAGAGATAGATTTTCTATCAATATGAGTGTTATAGTCTCCATTTGTGGGAGGAAACAGGAGTAATTATATCTCTTTTCTAAGATCTACGGTAAGCATGTTTTAAAATGAGAGAAACAAAAAATTTGCTTTCCAGATTACCTACCAAAATCGATAAAAATTACTTATTTAAAACATTAACAATTTCCTTCTCACCATGACTTTGGGCCAATATACATGTTGGAAATTATGGGTTCAATAGAATGGCGGGGGGATATTTCTATGAAGTCCTTTTTTTTTGGAAATAGAGTCTCACTCTGTTGTCCAGGCTACATGCAGCATAGTGGCACAATCATGGCTCACTGCAGGCTTGACCTTTTGTACTCAAGTGATTCTCCCACCTCAGCCTCTGGAGTAACTGGGACTACAGGCGTGTGCCACCAAGCCCAGCTAATTTATGTATTTTTTGTAGAAACAATGTCTTTCTATGTTGCCCAGGCTTATCTCAAACTACTGGGCTCAAGAGATCCTCCTGCCTCGGCCTCCCTAAGTGCTGGGATTATAGGCATGAGCCACCACACCTGGCCATGACTTATTTTAATATTTTTTAAAATGTCCAAATGTACTTGTCAACAAACTCATTGCTCCAATGATGTTCATTGATTGATTGTCATTTTTAGAACTTTCCTTTTGGAGTATCCTTGGGAATCAGTTTACTAGCCTTACAGTCAGTCCTGTAAAAGACATGCTCACATTCTGAGTCCCAGTAAGTACTTATTACCACACCCGTCATCTTAGTAAATCATGCTTGATCTGTTTCTGGCTTAGGAAATGAATCGATACCGCTCTTGGTGCAGCCTCTTATTCGGTTATGACTGGGTTGGGATTCCGCTGGTTTACACCCAGGTAAGAAATACTTTTCATGGAATTCTTTATTTCTACTTGCCTACCTTGGCACTGTAGCTTCGCTGCGGGAGGCCAGCACTGTCCCCTCACTCTGGTCTCTCTCTGTTCCAGGTTGTCACTCTTGCTGTCTATACCTTCTTCTTTGCGTGCCTGATTGGACGCCAGTTTTTGGATCCCACCAAAGGCTACGCAGGGCATGACTTGGATCTTTACATTCCCATCTTCACCCTCCTACAATTCTTCTTCTATGCAGGATGGCTTAAGGTAGCCAGTGGTCTCAGGGCCCCACTTTGTAATGTGTTATGTTCCAGACTCTCCACACTAATCCTTTACTGAGTCTTTAGCAAATCATTCATGAGTGAGTCAAAGGTAGATTTAACATGTAATGGCTCAGCAATGTTATTACTTTTCTGCCAGAGATTCAGAGATTCAAGTGACAGGGATAGAAACAGCTCATTTGTGCAAAGACATTAGAAGAACACTCTTATGGCTATTGATTCTCTTTTAAGTCTCTGTGTGTTCCCATTAGGATTATAATAATGTAACTAAAGTAGTAAGTGTACTTGCATTGATATTGTATACCACAACAAGCAACTAGGCAGAGTAAAAGAGTCAACAAGAAGCCTTGTAAATCAGACTTAACCATTAATATTGTAGTAGAATCTTGGTTCTGCTCAACTCTATAGTTATTGCAATTCCCTGAAATTCTGCTAGGTGTCCCACAACATTAAGTGTACCCCATTTTCTTTTTTTTTTTTTTACTTTCCCTGAGACAGAGTCTTGTTCTGTCGTCCAGGATGGAGTACAGTAACGCAATCTCAGCTCACTGCAACCTCCGCCTCCCAGGTTGAAGCAATTCTCCTACCTCAGCCTCCCGAGGATTACAGGCGTGAGCCACCGCGCCTGGTCTAAATGTACCCCATTTTCAAAACCAGAACTGAGACTCAGAATTCATCAGAATCAGAACCAGAAACACCAGAAACAATGACAACATCTGGTTTGCCAGGGAATTAAACAGGTTCAGGAGGTGAGAATGGTTTGCCTAACTATCTGTGTAGAATTTTCCTTGCTTCCCCTCCCTTCACCACCACCTCCTCAAATGTATGTGTGTAAATATCAGAGACCTGATTCTTCCATCACCTCTGTAAACTTCCAAATGGGAAGTATGTGATAGAAAAAAAATCAATGACAATGGCTTCATTAAGTTCATTCAAAGGCAATGATGATATGCAGATGATATTCGTAAAGTAGAATTTTCAAATGTTTGGCCTTCCAAAGAGCCATACCTTGTCGTGACCCACTGGGGCCTTCAGGTTGCAGTGAAATTTTCCCTGCAGAAGCCTTTCCTTTCATTGGTTTGACTCTTCACCAAAAAAAAATAATATGTTGATATTTCAAATTATACTCCAAAGAGTAAAGCCAAGTCCCTTACAAATGGCAAAAGAATTTTTAATCAGATTACTGTGATTCTTAATTATTTCTACCTGCGTAAGAGCAAGAAAGCAGAAGAGACTAATGACTTTCATTTTCCATTAGAGGAAAAAGTAGACTTTAGCTTTATAAATATAAAATCACCACAGTGGCCCAAATAATCATTCTCAAAAAGTACTTTTCTTTCTTTCCCCTGACTTGCACCAAGTTTTTATTCTTTGTTTTGTCTCCATGTAAGGTGCTTGACCAGCCCATAAAGAGCAGATAATGGTTCCTTCCCTCTGACATGCTTTCTAAAATATTTACATCCTTTTCCTTTATAAACTGTTTTAAAATCAGGTGCGGTGGCTCATGCCTGTAACCCCAGCACTTTGGGAGGCTGAGGTAGGAGGACTGCTCAGGAGTTTAAGACCAGCCTAGGCAATATGGCGAAACCCCATCTCTACAAAAAAAATACAAAATATTAGCAGGCATGGTGGCGCATGCCTGCAGTCCCACATACGTGGGAGGCTGAGGTGGAAGGGTCACTTGAGCCCAGGAGGCCGAGGGTGCAGTGAGCCATGTTCACACCACTGCACTCCAGCCTGGGTAACAGAGCAAGACCCTGTCTAAAATAAAAAAAATAAATCTTAAAAGACAAAATATTAAAAGGCACAATCTTAGCTCCATTAAAGGATAGGCAAACCTGCTGGGTGTGGTGGCACACGCCTGTAATCCCAGCACTTTGGGAGGCTGAGGCAGGAGAATCACTTGAACCTGGGAGGCGGAGGTTGCGGTGAGCCGAGATCAAGCCATTGCACTCCAGCCTGGGCAACAAGAGCGAAACTCTGTCTCCAAAAAAAAAAAAAAAAAAAAAGGCAAACCTAAACCATGGGTTGTGCCTCCATTTCTAAACAGCTGTTCTATCTCAACAATTAGGATATTTATAAATGTTTTCTAAGTGCAGAAAAGCTATCTTAACCTTATGAATAGTATATCACTCAGTTACTTGCTGAAAATGCAGCCCCCAGTGGAATAAAAGATATATTTTGAGATTGGTCAATTCAGAATCATACATGCCATTTTGTCAATTTAATGTAGACTACGATAATACATGCAGGACTGATTGCATAAAAATGAAAATCTGGATGGAATAAAAATAGGTTTCAGGACTCAACCAGTACCCTTAATTAATCTAAGTAAATCTCCAGGCAAGAAAGGGCAGATAGCCCCATGGAACTAGTGACAAGAACTTCAACATAGATATCACTGTGAGGCTTACTGATTCAGGGCACAGACCTGCCCAAGGAAAGGCACTTAAAATAAGAGCCACATATGAAAATCCTCTGGGAGCTTTACCTGACACTGATGCCTGGCCTCAACCTCACACTGCTTAAATCAGAATCTCTCGGGGAGGGACCCAGGCATCAATCGGGTTTTTTTAAGAGCTCCTCGGGTGATTTTAATGTGCAGCCAAGGTTGAAAAACACTGCTCTAAGTATTAATACGTTGACTTAAATCCTAAAAGATAAGTAGGTAGATTTTCTACTGAATAGTTTCAGAATCTAGAATGTTTAGACTCTAGAAACTAATCACATGGTGCCTTTATTTTACACATTTAAAATTTTTTTCCATCTAGACTCAATGTAAAATCTCCCTCTCCCCCAACTCTCTCCCTGTCTCTCTCTCTCACGCACACACACGAGCATGCACG
Organism: Homo sapiens; assembly: GCF_000001405.40. Taxonomy (NCBI): domain Eukaryota; kingdom Metazoa; phylum Chordata; class Mammalia; order Primates; family Hominidae; genus Homo; species Homo sapiens. The sequence continues at coordinate 69,674,055 of NC_000012.12, read as the reverse complement.
CATGTCCAGATAATAAAAACCAAGGGAAATTTTTCAACAAGGAAAATGATAGATGAGTTGTATTTTATACATAAACCTCTCATCAAGAAGGCTATTCAATTCAGGAACATGATAAGAATATTTAATATTGATCAAATATTAAAAGATTTGTGACAATAGCTACCTAACATTTTCCCGGCAGGAAAACTAACTTACTGGATAAGAGTAAATCCTTTAGGGTAAAAACTAGGTAAGCCTCAATTTCCAACTTTAGGACTTACTAGCTCTCTAACTCATTTACTTAGCAGTTATGTTCAATAACTGTGAAAGCTCGGCCAAGCACAGTGGCTCACACCTGTAATCCCAACACTTTGGGAGGTCGAGAAGGGCAGAACACCTGAGCTCAGGGGTTCAAGACTAGCCTGGCCAACATGGTGAAACCCCATCTCTACTGAAAAAAAATCCAAAAAAATTAGCTGGATGTGATAGTGCTCGCCTGTAGTCCCAGCTACTCAGGAGACTGAGGCAGGAGAATTGCTTGAACCTGGGAGGCAGAGTTTGCAGTGAGCCGAGATTATGCCACTGCACTCCAGCCTGGGCAACAGGGCGAGACACTGTCTAAAAAAATAAAAATAAAAATAAATTGTGAAAGCCTCTTATATTATTTTCTTTAAGTGTGATTTAAGTCTTTCTTTACTGTTTAACCTTCTCCCTGTGTACATTTTGTCTTATCATCTGGGCCCTGTAATTCCCTGAAAGCATAGCCTGTGTACCCTTCAGAGTGCCTTGCAAATAGCTGGTTCTCCTTCACTATTCAGTCATTTGATTTGGCTCCTAAATAGGACATGGCTTCCCCTGATAGGGCCTGCATTGTCACCAGTTGAATGGACAGATCCATTTGGAGAGCATACCTACGAAGGTGCATCATTCATGGTTTGAGAATCATGTCTTGCTCGCTAATAAATATCTCGGTAGAACAATCTACTCCCCTCTACTCTTCGTATTAGAAAGTCACACAAGGAAGCAGAGAGGAAAACAGGAATCATCTTCAGTCTCTATTCTGAGTTTTCACAGGTATCATGATGGATTTATTTTATGTTCTCAACTACAGGTAGCAGAGCAGCTTATCAACCCTTTTGGAGAAGATGATGATGATTTTGAAACTAACTGGTGCATTGACAGAAATTTGCAGGTTAGAGGAATTTTTCTTTCTTTTTCAAATGTTAATAATAAATCACTTGCGATATTTCAAATCTAAGCAGATTTCAAATGCACACCCCTTGGCTTCAGAGCTTTAGCCACAAATGAAAGAGGCTTGGCTGTGCACTGTGCTGTCTCAGGTCCTTTCAGAAGCTTACACATCCGAGATTTCAGCTCCAGTGAAATTTAGTTCCTTTTAAGTAGAATTTCAAGCCAATTTTCTTTGTAAGCCCTCTATTAGCTTTTTCCAGCCTCTTTCATCTCAGCATAGAGCAGTATTTTAAATTGTTCTTTAGTCTGTTTTCTGTTGCCAACCAGAGAGGTTAATAGTGACTTAAAATGGCATCCAGACACAAGCTGGTGGGAGTTCCCAAAGTGGTATCACGTCAATCCCAGCAGTCAGATAGCCACCAGCTGGACACTGGGAGCCTGGGCCATGCCAGCTTGTGTCTCAAATCTGCATGAAATGCACTAAATGGGCCCCAGGGCACTTACCCTGAAGCACTATTCCAGAGAGCTTTTCATGAAGAAACAGCACTAAGGAATTTTCCTTTTAGGCAAGACTCTCCCTAGACCATTCTCTTCCCTGTGAAGGCCTTCACATTTTTCATTTGTTTCAAGCCCTTACTCGGCAGTTAAGTAAGTTCAAACATCTCACAGTAGATCCCAATGTCAGTCTCTTAGGGAGGACGCATAATGCCTAGGTCACTCACTTTGTCAAAATTGGAATCCCAGAGGATTAATAATGTATTCATGCATCACTTTGTCAAAGCCAAGAGGAGAGAGCACCATAGCACTGAGCAGTATAGACTTCTTGTTATGTTTTTCCAAACAAAGAAATGAACAAGAAACCAGGGCATATAAGAAGTGATGTCAAGTAAAAATGTGTTTACAGGGTTAACAGAATGAAAAGCGGAATCTTCACCTTCCTGTAATATTTGGGGTTAAGTAGGTGCTATCAGGTAAAACAACACCACAATTGTGAGCAAAGAATAAAAAGATGGCTCCCCTCCCTCCAGCTAAGAGGCAACTCCACTCTAGAGTGTGTGGTTTGATCCCGGAGTGTGGGAGGCTTCAAGCCCCACTTATCCTCATCGCCAAGTGCTCTCGAGTAGTAAACAACAGATACAACTCTCTGTGGCAGCTGTGGTCATGGCAAGTATGAACTACAGACATTTGTATATTCACTCATTTAGACTGTGTCCTAGCCCAATCTAACTCTCATCTGCCCAAAAAAACTTCTCCTTTTTATTTAATTTACATCTGAGTTATTCTAACAATATAACAATGATTTTAGGTCTCTCTTTTAGCTGTGGACGAAATGCACATGAGCTTACCCAAGATGAAGAAGGACATTTACTGGGACGATTCTGCTGCTCGCCCACCATACACATTGGCAGCTGCTGACTACTGCATACCCTCATTTCTGGGGTCAACAGTCCAGATGGGGTAAGTGCATTTTTAAAAAATCTCTAATATTTTCCAGCCTGAGCAACATAGTGAGACCTTGTCTCTATAAAAAAAAAAAAAGAAATAAAATAATTTAAAGTAGCCAACTGTGATGTCACCTGTAGTCCTAGCTACTTGGGGAGGCTGCAGTTGGAGGATTGCTTGAGCCCAGGGGTTCAAGGCTGCAGTGAGCTGTGATTGTGCCATTGCACTCCAGCCTGGGTGACAAAGTGAAGCCCTGTCTCAAGAAAAATAATTAATTAATTCACGAAAATTAAAATAAATATCTCCAATATCTAGGAAATGAACAGATAGATCACTGTTCTAATCTTTTTACCTTTTTTGGCATTTTTTTCTACCTAGGCTTAGTATGTAAGTCAGTCTCTGTTCAGTGGTTTTAACACAGCAATCACCCCTAAGTATAATGAGCTTTAAATAAATGAGTTGAGGCCTGAAGTAAATCAGGTACAGTTCTATAATAATTTCATTAAGTCTGAGCATGTATTTGATATTGGAGAAGTGTGTGAATGTGGGAGAAGTTTAAGTATATTTGCTGAAGGCAGATGCCACAGTTTCCAAGTAAATTAAAGAGAAAAGCACAGACTAATTCAGAAAGTAAGAAACTCTCCACTCAAAAACAAAACAAAACAAAACAAAACAAAAAAACTGTAGCAAAAGGGGAAACTTTTGTGGAATTTTTCTTATAATTCTTGGCAAGACTGTGGCTCATAGTTCCCTGAGGCCTGCTGTAAGCGGATTTGTGCAGTGGGTTTGTGTCCTGTGGTTGCTGCCTATGACCCTTCTTTCCCTCCTCCCTGAAGTGGCCTGCCCTCCTCCTTCTACTTTCAGGAGATCTCGCTTCAACCCTGTTCCCTTTGCCGAATGTCTCCTAATCCCCATCAGTGATGGTTTGTGGCACTTCTCTTCCAAAGGGGCCTCTGAGGCTGAAAACCTTTCCAGACCCAAAGAAAAGGAAGACTGAAAGTGGAATTTCAGTAGTTCCAGCAAATAATGAGAACGATTTAGGAGCCAGGAGATTTGCCTTGTTGCCCGCAAAGCACATCTTAGAGAAGGTTGCCTACTCCAGGCTAGATTTGCTTCTGCTTCTAGCTAGCCTTCTAAGACCAGACCCACCCACCCAGGGCTCCTTCCAGGCCAGAGAGCTCATCCCTGCCCTCAGTGTATTCTCAGTTTCCATGGATAGGAATCTCTTGTTGTATGCATGTCTCAGCCTTCATGATACCTTCTGCAGGGGCAGAGCTTCATGGACATCCAGCAATCATCTCAATTTTCAGAATTAATAAGAGCTGTTCTTCTGTGAGTTTGATTTTAGATAATTAAATATGCTTTATCCTTTTCCTCACTCTCACCATTGATTAATGCAAAGTACTTGACGATTTAACTTGAAAAGAAAAGAGACCAGCAATACTGATAGAATCAGAGCATCATTGTGATAACTCTATTTAGACTGCAAATGCTCCAAACACTCTATTTCTTATGTCCATTGAGTTGTTGTTACCCCATGGTTAAGATAATTTTTTGAAGGTCTCAAAATTTTTATCCTGACCTACTTATTTATCCTAATCATCATAATTCTGCAGATTACTACATAAATGTTCATGTTCTTTAGCAAATATTAAAACACATTTCTCTTGTTTCTAAATACAGAAACAGAAATAGGGATTGACAAGATCTCAGAGAAAATTCCTTCCCCAAAAGATCATTGGGAAGATTAGATGAGATTGTAAACATTAAGATGCTCTATATAAAATCATAGAGCATGATGATTATTATCACCTAGTCAAGCTTTATTTGTGGATGTCAAACTGAAGCAGAGAAAGATTAAATCACTTTAAGCTATTCTTCATATTAAACTTACCCTGGAAATTTGGTACAGAAAATAAAACAACTGAGAGAAAACCAGGAGGTACAATATTTAAAACTGCAGCAAAAAATTATCAGTTGTCAGAGAGAAGTCCTCCAACTAAAATGGCCTATTTACCAGCAGGATGGAGAGAGGAACAGACAAAGGCCAGAACCTATTGGGAGAGGGTTTTGTGAGAGGTTTAACTCGATCTGCTAGAACCAATTGTTCAAAGAAACAATTAGGCAAAAGCTCACTTGATCTTGATTTTCTGTATAAATGAGGACCATTAAAGTGGACCACAATCCAGGAAAATTTACTGCAGGAAAATAGGCGATCAGAAGCCCTGAGTTGATAGAAATGGCCCCCTTTGGATTTCTTAATGCCTATTTTTCCTATGATTGTGGTATTAGAAAAAGTGTTTCTGGTTGCCTATGACAGAAAACCAAATTCAAACTTTCTTAAGCTAAAGGAGGTTTATAGTTTCACATCCAGAGACGAGCCTAGCTTTGGGTGTCACTAGATCCAGAGGCTCAGAGAATGTCACCAGGACTCACTGTTGCCCCATCCCTCTCAGGTCTGCTTTTCTCTCCACTGGCTCAGGTTTCAGGCAGGCTCTCCCATCCTGAGGGCAAAAATGGCAAAATGGCAAGCTCCAGGCTTACAGCTTACCTTCTCAGCTAACCTATGGAAAGAGCACATCTCTTTTCCAACTCTTGAAACTGAAGTGATGGATTTGCTATGACTGACTGGGCTCGGGCTCACATATCCATTTCTGAGCTAATTACTATCAACAGGGAGACAATATTTTGACTATTCATGGCTGGTTTATAGGTCCATCTTTGAACCAAGGGTTATAGTCAGCCCCGTCCAACCATATGGAGTATGTGATATCTCAAGAAAAAGCAGGGTGCTATTATCAGAAGGGTGAATGGTTTCGCTGGGCTAGCAAAAACAATAGATGTTCTCTAAAATCATAGAAGATAATTCCCTAAGCAATGAATGGTTCCCTCACCAAATACAAGGTCAATGTCAAATGAGCCACCTGACTGAGGCTAAGGGCAAGGGGAAGGTAAAAGTTAAGAACTGTAGCACTGGTGGTCTTGTTGGTGCTGACTGAGCCAATGAGCTCTTTGCATGAGAGTGAAGATCACGTGTCAAGATGCTGTAGACACAAGCATTACATTTTATAAAAGTGCCTGCCTCTTGGTGACCATATAAAATCCTTTCCTGGATGAGATTTTTTTAAATTTTCTTATTCTCTTTAAGGTGTATGTTCCCAGCATATTTAATTCAGAAATCAAATTTTCCTTACCTTTTCATATCAATGTTTTGGGTTTGTAGCCACAATTCCCATAACCCGGATATTCTAAAATCAAAGCAATATCCTTCAAGAACAGAGCAAAAGTACTACTCTCCAAGGGCCACCTGCAAGAAGACCTGCCTCCCAGCCAGCACATTCAACAGCGCTGTTCACATTCAGCACACTGTTCATTTCCACTTCAGAAGGAAACTCCTTGGAGACAATGTCTTTATTCTCTATATTAAGGGACATGTTCAAAACATGGCCCTATTTTCTGCATATTTACCAAATATATATAACTCAAATAAATTAATTTTCCTTCTTTCTATCTTAAGCACAAATTTAAAATATATTTTCCCTTGGACCCTCACATACAGAATGTGCTCGTTTATTTATTCTGGTAAATCTTTTTCAGGGCCTACTATGAGGTAGGTTCTATGCCAGATGCTAGAGGTAGTCAAAAAAAGAAAAGAAAAAAACACCTCCCAAGCTCACAGATGTAAGGTGGAGAAAAGTGACATTACAATGTGGTAAATGCTACAGTGGAGAAACGCTCAGCCTTATGGGAACACACGCAATGAAGACACACTTCACCCAGCCTGGTGACTCAAAGAAAGCCTCTTGGAGTCAGGGACTCTAATATGCATCCTTAAGAATGAGTTAGGAGGCGGGCATGGTGGCTCATGCCTGTAATCCCAGCACTTTGGGAGGCTGAGGCAGGTGGATCAGTTGAGGTCAGCAGTTCGAGACCAGCCTGGCCAACATGGTGAAACCCAGTCTCTACTACAAATACAAAATTAGCTGAGCATGGTGGCACAGCCTGTAATCCCAGCTACTCAGGAGGCTGAGGCAGGAGAATCGCTTGAATCCAGGAGGCAGAGGAGGTTGCAGTGAACCGAGATCGCACCGTTATACTCCAGCCTGGGCGACAAGAGTGAAGAGCAAAACTCCATCTCAAAAAAAGAAAAAAAGAATGAATTAGGAGCCAGTGCACAGATAGAATTGAGGGGATTCAGCAGAGGGCTCATTTCAGGCCAATATGGGCAAAGACAGAAAGGAATAATAAATAGTATACTCAGAGTAACAATTTGATAGGCAAAGCAGAAGAGCCAAGAAATGAATCTGGAGAGGAGGCAAGGGAGAAGATGGAGGGTTTTATAGGCCAGGTAAGGGTTTCAGCCATTATTCAAAGCTATTAAGTGACAGGGTCACATTTTTGCTTTGGAGAGATTAGCCTGGCAGCTGGCTGAAAGACAGATAGCTGAGGATAAGACCAGAGCCAGAGTTAGCAGGCTGTTGTCATTTAAACAGGAGAGGATAAGGGCCTGAAGTAGGTGTATCACAAGGGATGTAGACGGTAGAGGTGACAGAAGGGACAGATTCAAGAAAGGAGAAGGAGTGAAGAACGGTAATAAACCAAAGATGAGAGAGTGTAAGGGTGAAACTGCTCTAAGGAAAAGATTATGAGCTCTCCCTTTTGCATGTGTTGAATTTGAGGCCTCTATGGGCAATTCACATGGAGATGGCCAGCATGCAGTGAGTCCAGGGACAGAAGATGCATTTTACTGGTATCAGTACGTAGAACCAAAGAGTGGGTGGGAGCAATCAGAACAGTATCAAGGAAACAGAGCAGAATACGAAGGGTAGAATACTATTACTGAAAGGGTGGTCAGAGGAAAAGGGTAGTCAGAGTAGGAATGGTCAATATAGATGCAGAGTAACCCAGAAAATGCCCTGCCAAGAGGCCAAAGGTACAAAGTTTCCAAATAAAGCCTGAAAAGCATGCCATAGGTTTTGCATGTTAGGGTCATCAGAGGCTTAAGTGAGAGTGTGGGGTAGAAATTAAACCATAGTAGGTTAGAAGTGATTGATAAGTAAGAAGGTCAAATTGCCAGTGTAAGCTGTTTTTAAAAAATAATTTTATTGTAGAAAAATTCAAACCGGGCCAGACATGATGGCCCACGCCTGTAATCCCAGCACTTTGGGAGGCCAAGGCAGGCAGATCACTTGAGGCCAGAAGTTAGAGACCAACCTGGCCAACATGATGAAACCCATCTCCACCAAAAATACAAAAATTAGCCGGCATGGTGGTGCACACCTGTAGTCCCAGCTATTTGGGAGGCTGAAGCAGGAGAATCACTTGAACCCAGGAGGGGAAGGTTGCAGTTAGCCAAGCTCATGCCACTGCACTACAGTTTGGGTGACAGAGCGAGACCTTGTCTCAGAAAAAAAAAGAAGTTTAAGCAGTTCCAAAGGTAGAGAACAAGCTATGAAAAAGCTCCATGTACCCATCACCACTTCAATTATCAAGTTACGGCCAGTCTTGTTTCATTCTCCACCCGCCTTTATCTTCCCCACCATTTGATCATGGTAAAGCAAATAGATCATAATGCCATTTTCATACTTAAAAAAACAAAAATAAAACAAACCCAAAACGCATATAATTCCTCAATTCATTAAGTATCCATGGACTATGTTTTTGAGAAGTCTGAATTGATGGGGTAAATAGACCAGACTGTATTCACTAAGAGACAGGGACTCTGGTCTGTTTCCCTCCTCAATTCAGACTTCTAGGGATGGCTTTTTTGTTTTGTCTTCAGTAAGGCTAATGGCATATTTTTTACTTGCCTTTTTTTTTGTTTGTTTTTTTGTGTTTTGTTTTGTTTTGTAGACAAGGTCTCTCTCTGTCACCCAGGCTGGAGTGCAGTGGCATGATCTCAGCTCACTGCAACCTCCACTTCCCGGGTTCAAGCAATTCCCCTGCCTCAGCCTCCCAAGTAGCTGGGATTACAGGCGTGCACCACCACACCCAGCTAATTTTTGTATTTTTAGTAGAGACGGGGTTTCACCATGTTGGCCAGGCTGGTCTTGAACTGCTGACCTCAAGTGATCCGCCCACCTTGGCCTCCTTAGAATTATCGTCACCACCTATACTGAATTTCACTTTGCTGCTGTACCCTGGCCTTGTTTGGACAGAGCCATTAAGACTCCCTCTGGTGTTCGCTGTAGAGCTGTCCACTGTGTGACTTGGCATCCCTTTTACTGAATTTCACTTTGCTGCTGTACCCTGGCCTTGTTTGGACAGAGCCATTAAGACTCCCTCTGGTGTTCGCTGTAGTGCTGTCCACTGTGTGACTTGGCATCCCTTTTACTGAATTTCACTTTGCTGCTGTACCCTGGCCTTGTTTGGACAGAGCCATTAAGACTCCCTCTGGTGTTCGCTGTAGTGCTGTCCACTGTGTGACTTGGCATCCCTTTTAGCAGAGGACTCACAGGAGGAAATGCATTTCAGATGTTGGTGGCGAAGAAAGAAAGCTTTGCCTCTTCTGGGCAAATCTTACGCTATTTATCTTACAAACTTTATAATTGTATAATTAATGATGGTTTCCTTTTCATTTTGGCTGCTGGGAAGCTGACAATCAAATTTGTAGCCTACCTTTACTAAGTCTGTGGAATGGGATTTTTTTGGAATGTATTTCTAGAGTCTGTATCTTTTATCATTGTTTCTTATTCTACCTCTACTATATTGGCTTGATTTTTTATATTATATATATTTATATAATATATAAATATAATATTTTATATGTTAGATATAGTATATAATATTATTGCATTGTATGTATTTCCAGAAGGCCACATCAAATCCTTTGTAAGATGAAGCAAGATGTGATAAAGAAACAAATTAACAACTCTCCTTGTTTGGAAAAAGGAAGGAAAAAAGACAGGCTGAGCAAAAGGAGCCCACTGGAAGAGAGGAAAGACACAGGAGCAAGGGGGGATGACAGAGCAAGGTCCTAAAGAAGTCACAGAACTGGCCCCGGGTGGCGGGGGGAGGTCCCAGTGCCTGAGCTACAGGGAAGCAGTTGAAGTTGGATACAGTAAGGGGAGAGGGGGAGATGGTGCCTGTGCAGCCAGGAAAGCAGGAACCAATGTTCTTGCTTCATCTAGTCATCGTGTCTTAATCTAAAGGAAGCTTTAACAGAGCTCATCTTTCTCTGTCTAATCTGGGACCAAAGAGCTACTGTTTTAAAATTGCATTTTATAAGCTTTAACACCAAACCAGTGCTGAAGTTCCGTCTCTTGATCTTTGCATGGGGCATGTTAAAAATCAGCTTCAAAATCAACACTCCAAATGAAAAAAGGCCAGTTAAAAATCTGAATGCAGTCCCCAAAATAGAAATGCTTTCATAAATATGCCAGTCTTGAGCATTTACTAAATAGTGATAATTATTGCATGGCCAGTAATCTACACTTTGCCATTTTATGAGTTAATAAGCAATGAAAAAGTATTTCTTGTGTGAATTCTTTTACCATTATCTCATGTGGGATCCCTTCAGTTGACTCTGTTTTGCTTGTTCTTTTGTAATACTGCGGAATCCTTTCTAATCTGCTGGAGTTTTGTTCTTGCTTTTGTTTGGTTTTTGCCTTTTGTATTTTTGAGACAGGGACTCCCTCTGTCACCCAGGATGGAGTGTACAGTGGTGCAATCACAGCTCACTGCAGCCTCGAACTCCTAGGCTCAAGCGATCTTCCTGCCTCAGCCTCCTGAGTAGCTGGGACTACAAGTGCATGACACCATGCCTGGCTTTTTTTTTAAGAGGCAAAGATCTGGCTATGTTACCCACTCTGGTCTTGAACTCCTGATCTCAAGAGATCCTCCCACCAAGGCCTCCCAAAGTGTTGGGATTACTGGTGGGAGCCACCGTACCCAGCCTTGATCTGCGTTTTAATTAAGGCATCTTTTCATTAGCTTAACTATGGAGATGCTATTAACCAAGATCGAGAAAACACCCACAAGTAGCCAAAAGAACATTGTATGTAAGATGCACAGCGAGGAAGTATACCCAAACCCTAATGTAATAATGAGTTTTCCTGGGACAATAATAAACACATGCATGATAAAAATAACTTTACCCAAAGAAATTTTAAATGCTTAAATTCAAGCCAGTGTTGCTGAAAATAATTTTTAAAAAAAAATGAACAAAAATCAAGGTCCAGAACTATCCTGTCACAACTGGCTTGAGGTAGAGTTAGAATGCCTGTCTTCACATTATATCATCATAAGTCACTTCAAAATTCTTACTATCTTTCAATTACTTGGGATTACCCATTAACACAAATGTTTAAGACTCTGAGGAATGAAACACAGAAATTTAAGACCTGAAGTCTCATAATGCCCTTTAGTCCTATCTTGAAAATCAAAACACCCAACAGTAAAGAAGATAATCCCTTAAGGGCCTTGGAAAAACCCTAACAAACTATCCATTCATAACAGCTAAAGGATTTGAAATTCTGGAGAAGAGAGGCTGTAACTGCTTATGAAATGGATCACTCAAGTGTGTCCAGAGTGCTTGCTCTAACTGTCTTGCTAATCTAAAAGCATGCTCCAAGCCTGTAAACTTTAAACTGCTGACTGTAATCCCATTTAAAGAGCTTTGTTTTATTGGGCTCTTCTGCTATAATTCAAATAATTATGTCAAAATGTTCTCACATATATAATAATCTTAAAAAGGGGGTCTATGAAGCCAATTAAGGATCCACTTAGTAAAGAGGAAAAATATTCAAAATTTTAAAGAGCTCCTTCTGGCTAGGGGTTGAGGAATTTATTTAAGACGTATTTGGTACTATGAAACTTTGTCAGAAATAATAATTTCTACTTATCTATCTTTATTCGAAAAGTTCTACGAATATGTAACATGATTTTTTAGTAATTATACAAACATGCAAATGTACTTAATGTGCACAAAATATTTAGGGTTATACAGTAGGTCAGAAATATTTTTAGTGATATTAATTCAAATATACCAAAATACATATTTTAGTAAGTGAAGACTTTATTAAAGTGTGGTTAAATATACTTCTATGTTGATGATACTTAGTAATCCTTTTTAGTCAACTATATTCAAATATTTTAGCTTTACAAGAAAATACGTAGTCTGATACATACAATTGCATGCTTATATTACAAACTACCAAAAATATCTCAAATTCTGAATTACTAACTTCAACAAAAGTGTATTCTGGGAACATTGATTTTTCACTTAATGTACCAGAAAGGAAGGAGAAATGGAAACTTCCAAGGAGATGAATGTGCATTAAGTTTATAATTTTAGAACTTACTCAAGGATTCTTTCATACTGTGATGTGAGGTCACCATGGGCAATCAGTTTTCATCTTTAAATGGTATCAGATGTGTACATGGATTGATTTCCTTTTTTAACAAAATTCCTATAGAATATAACAATATTAAAGAGGGAACTTTAAGTGAACCCCCACTTTTGGCCATAACTTCTTTTTGTGTCAGCCAGCAAGAGCCAAGAGAACATAACCAGGGTGGTAGGATGTAGCTAGATAAGCCTCTTTAAAGGCACAAGAGGCCACTTCTTCAACCAGATTTGCCAAAGCCCTTGGTTCAATGACCAGATAGGCCAACACGGGTAGTAGTGGGGTCATCAGCCCTAAATGCAGCTTTCTGGGCTACCTTCTAGGATGCTCTGGAGCTTGGAACTGTCCACCTGAAAGAGGGTTGAGGGAGGCTGGATGAATACAATATTTGGTCCACTGGATTTTCCTCATAACCCTTAGCCCCACACCTCCCAGCTCAGAGGGAGGGTTGCCTTGCCCATTTTATAAATCCTTGGCTACAGCTTTGATGATGATTCTGCAGTGCAGATGGTTAAAAATAGCCGCATGCGCCTCAGATGGGTTTGAAGAGTACATTTTGCTTTGCCCATGAAAAAAATGCTTCTCCACACATGTCTCTGCCCTGATAGATTCTCAGGCAAATTATCGGCTCCCTCCAAGGCAGTCGCCTGACTGTGAGTACACTAGCAATTTGAAAACAATAAATCTGCAGTGAGAAGTAGAATTCATCATACTAAATATCATTTTCCTAAATTCCTCATTTCAATTCTGTTAAAAAGGCCTCTTATTATTCGAATTAAAATTGTCAAAATACCGCTTCAAAAGTAGAGCAGAGAAAGAGAGACAAGCATCATCCAGTTTTATCTTTCAATCTTTTTGAAGCTCTATATTTACCTAATCACTCTCGTGAGAAGGGGGTTGCTTTGCAAAAAGCTTTCTTTGGAGAAATGCATTAAATCCTTCAAGCAATCAGGGCTATTTTTGTCTTTCTATATTAGACACACCCCAACAAGTATGGCAGTCTGCTGACATCTTCATCAGCCTGTTTCTTGCCTCTTTGTTATGGCAGCAGAGGGTGAAGCATGTTCTTCTGCACCCCTGACCAGCCCAAGCATCTTTTAAAGTTTCTAATTAAATCATGGCTGCTTATGCCCTTGGATATTTGTCATTTGCAAGGGAAACCATGGGGCTGATGTTTGTGTAGGTATTCCATATGTATTTTGAAATTTGGGTTTTTTATTAACACTTGAGATTAAAATAATTTTAATCCAGACATCTACCTAACCTGTGGAAATAATGCATGCTCTCCCTTCTTCTGGACTCAACTATAACTAACCAGCCTGACTGGCTTAAGATAACCTTTTCTCTTTCTCCTTCTTTTACTCTTCTCCCTTTCAAAAATAGACCAATATGTGACACAACCGTTCTCATTCTCATGTTTTCTATATTTTTGTATTGATGGTTTCTATTGCACAATAAGTGTGTATTGCAGGGTTTGATGATGTTTGGAAAATGGCACAAAAAAAAACAATATTGAGAGGCAAGGTCAGGGCAGTCTGTCTCCACAATTTTCACCATTGGAGCAGACCTCTCTTCCTTCCCTCAAATAACCCAGCTTCTTCCAGTTCTTATATTTCCTCTTCACCCACCCAGTGCCCTATCATTAAATGGCTTATCATTAAATGGCTAAGTCATCCCTTTTGAAGGTGTTGTTAAGTGATATCTCCTAGGTGTAGTAACATTTTTAAAAGGACAATCTTGAAGAAGAAAAGGGAGTGACCTTCAGACACACATTATCATCTCCTCCAACCCTGTCTGAGAAGTCAATGATAACTTGGAAACCACTTCTGAAAGTTTGCCAGTCATTGACAGAGTCCTTTTTACATCTTCTACTTTCAAAGCTTTTCTACACAGGTCACCCCTTTTGAACTTTCAAACAACCTAAAAGGCAGGTAAAGGATAATTATCACCAGCTTACCAAGAATGATGCTAAGTCACAAGAGATTAAATGAGTCCCCAAAGATCACACAGCTGGTTGGTGTCAGCATAGACACAGCAATCCTGGCTCTGCAAGCTCTCAAAATAAATTATTTTTCCCACCACAGAGACAGTGCTCAAATTTTATCCCTGGAAACTGATGGCCGCATGACACTTTTCATGAATGTCCTCCTATCTCTAATTACCTGCCTCTCTCAGTCCAAATAAGTTCCAGAACATAAAACCTAGCTTTTTCAGCTGACTCTCCCTAATACATAGGAATATAATGAGGGTACTTTTATTCTATCGTATAATATTTCTGCTATTAGTTGGTTAAGTGGTATTATATTGAGCCTCAGGATTGTACTAACCCTAGACTAAGAGGACACTTTAAATATCAAATAAGGAGCATAAAAAAAAAAATAAAAGAAACTAAAATTTATACTCCAGCCTCCCATTTGGGAAATACTCTTTCAAACTATTCTAAGGCTGAGTGTGGTGGCTCTCGCCTATAATCCCAACACTTTGGGAAGCCAAGACAGGAGGACCACTTGAGGCCAGGAGTTCAAGACCAGCCTGGGCAACATAGGGAGACCCCATCTCTACCAAAAATAAAAAATTAGCCAGGCATGGTGGTGCACGCCCACGGTCCTAGTTACTTGGGAGGCTAAGGTGGGATGATCACTTTAGCCCAAGAGGTCAAGGCTACAGTGAGCCATGATTGTGCCACTGCACTCCAGCCTGGGTCACAGAGTGAGGCTTTGTCTCTAAATAAATAAATATATACGTATTCTATTTTAAACTATTTTGTTCTTAAAGCACAGCTTCTGCTGTCATATTGGGAATAGTGGCTACCAGAGAAAGGAGGAGATGAACAGTGTGTGTTGGCAATGAGATCTTCCATGGAAGCATTTAGAAGAAATGTCTTTAGGTTTGTCATGCTGGGGAGTTTCCCTACTGCTCTGTTACAGCATTAAGACCTGGAGGGCATCATTCACCACTCAGTGTAAGATACTTAAAACTGCCCCCCAGAGCACTGATCACCAAGCGTGCTTCTAAAGACCCTGTTTCAGACTAAAGGAGTGAAAAGTTTTCAAGTCATGTTTCTTATCTAAAGCAGTCATCAACGTTGCTTTTTGTGTACCCTTCCACCATGGACACCCCTACCCACACCACACAACCCTAGCAATGCCCTCCATTCTCAAAGACAATCCACAGCTGCCCTCTGTCTCCGGGATAAAGTTCACATCCCACAACCTGGTATACGACTCTTCATGGCACGGTCCAAGGACCTCTTTCCAGCCTAGGCCTGACACTTTTCTGTGTGTTTCACACAGATTCAAGTATCTCCTATTTCTCACAAACACCCTAAACTTTCCTGCTGCCTTATTTGTTCAAGTCACTTCTTTCACCTGGAATGCTCTGTCCCTTTTCTATCCATCCAATTCCCACTCAGTGTCAAAGCCTAGCTCAAAAACTTGCTTTGCCCCAAATGTAAATATTTATTTATATGTCTTCTCTCTCCTTTTAAGTGATAATTTAAAAGGTACCTAATGCAACAAATTGTTTATGATAAGTGCTCAATAAATTTAGTCGGGTGAATAAACAGATAAACCTCATGCATCTACTCCATAGTCTTATGAGCCAGGAAGGTACAATAGGGTCTTCTTGGCAGACCTACCCAATGTCAGTTATGAATCAGTCCAACATAGCAAGAGCACCAGACGTTTTGCAGTTTGCTTGTTGCAACTTGTCTATTTTCCCCCATCTATGACCCAGGAGTTTATACCTCTTGCTGCAGTTGAAGGTATAATACATATGTCCTATACCAGGGCATAAGGTTTTTGTCTTTTGAGTCACAAAGTTTGAAGTATTAAAAATATAAACTTTTTTCCTAGAAGACTGTCTTTCTTACAAGATTGCAACCTTTAGAGGTAGTTTAAAAAAACAAATCCTAAATAAATAGTTGAGATCCCAAATGGAAGACAGACGCCTGTCCTATATAGAGAGATTGCCAGCTTGTCCTTGATTCCCAGAACACATCCAGAGTGGCTGTGTTAGTGAACAAGTTCACTTGTGGCTCCTCTGGTGTCCTCCTCCCTAACTAAATGGGTGCCTGTGGAGTGTGACTGGAGAGCTGACCAAATGCAATCCACCCAGCAGGGTCACCAAGGCCACTGAAGCATGAGTCTGCATTTCTCAAGTCGATGTAATAGAATCTGACCCTCACACAGTGGAGGGTGGGTCAGAAGGCTATCTGGTAGCCAAGGGCGCTGCTGAGGCTTTAGAAAAACAGCACAAGGTTGTAATCGAACGCCGTCCCAGGACATTCAGCCAGTTAATCATCTCAGTCATCCATGTTTTATTCATAAACATGAGGAACGACGTTTCTTTGGCTGCTTGCTTTGCCCTTTCAAGTTACACCAATATTATACTGTCCCAATGTTCTCCTTCATGTCACATAAAATGCACCCGGCATCTTGTCACCAGAGATGTCACTACCAATAGTGGACTGGGACCAGCTGGTTACTGTTGCTCCCAGAGCTAGCATGATGAGCATTTGTAGTTCAAGGGCAAGGCTTTAAGTTGTTCTTCAAACCCCATTAAGGCTGTAATTCCACAGAGATGTGTGGCAAATAACTATGTAATCCGAGGCCAGAGTAGACCAAACTACCAAACAGGCTTATCTCACCTCAATTATTCATTTTATGTCAGTCCTGAAGGAGATTTAAAATGGTAGGTTTGGCCAAGTGTGGTGGCTCATGCCTGTAATCCCAGCACTTTGGGAGGGCAAGGTGGGCAGATTATTTGAGGTCAGGAGTTCGAGACCAGCCTGGCCAACATGGTAAAACTCCCTCTCTATTAAAAATACAAAAATTAGCTGGGTGTGGTAGCACCCACCTGTAATCCCAGCTACTGGGGAGGCTGAGGCATGAGAATCACTTGAACCTGGGAGACAGAGGTTGCAGTGAGCCGAGATCACACCACTACACTCCAGCCTGGGCGACAGAGTAAGACTCTGTCTCAAATAAATAAATTAACTAATTAAATGGTAGAATTATTTGTTTTATTTTTTAAATGGTAGAAATTCAGCAGGAAATTCTTGGTAGCCAATCCATCAAATTTTATCACAAGCAGAGCCCAATCGCGATGCAAGTTCACCCTAACTGGATGAATATATCCTTTCCACAAGGTTCCAATTTCTCTTTTTTTAACCCTAATTGTACAGACATAAATGCAAAGCCTTATCAGGAATGTTTACAAATTACCTCTGAGCAAGGACTGTGCTTTACTCACTATTCCACCCTGGGCTCTAGCTCATCCCTTGACCCCTGTGTAGTAGGCTTTCCATCAAAGGGATTAGGAGCAAGGGCTTGGAGCCAGACTTCCGAATTTGCTCTAACTAGCTACGTACATTTAGTGAATCTCTCCAGGCCTCAGTTTCCTCATTTGTAAAGTGAGGATACTAATACCTCACTTTATAGTAATACAGTAATACCTCACTGTATTGTAATGATATAATACTAATACCAACTCATCTAATTATTGTGATAACTAAATGAATCAATGCATAGGAGGTGCTTAGCTGGGCCTTAGTATATAGTCAATAAATGTGAGCTGGGCATCGCACGCTCGTGAATTTACCTATGATCCATTGTTAAGGGGGGTTTTATGGGTCCTTGGGAAACTTGGCCTTAATTCAACTGTACTAAGGGAGAAAGAACATATACTAGATGACAGATAGATAGATAGATAGACAGACAGACAGATAGATTCATAGATATAGATATATAGATATTTCTTAATGTCCAAGTCTCTAGATCGGTGATTCTCAAAGTGTAGTCTGGGGATATCTGGGGATCCCTAAGACCACTCCAGAGAGTCCTGAAGGTCAAAAATGTTTTCATAATAGCACAACATGTTATTTGCCTTTTTCATTCTCATTCTGTCAAGAGTGTCCAGTGGAATTTTCCAGAGGCCACAAGATATGTGGTGATGTCATCACTTAGCAGTCAACGGAATGTGTGCTTGTACGTGCTTGTGTTTCAGACATTCCACAGTTATAATTTTAAATACAGTAAAGAGTAATAGATATAACCCACATAAGCAAATCTCTTTGGGATACGCAATAATTTTTAAGAGTTTAAAAGGGATCTGAGATCAAAAAGTGTGTGAGCCTCTGCTAGACTATCTCAAGTCCTCAAACCCCCATTTAAAAAATCTATAAGGCAAAAATACCAAAGTCATCTCTTAACTTTGAGACTCTGCCCCCAAAGCTAGGCCCCCGAAGCTACTCTGCCTGGATCTTGTCATTGTGTGTTTCAGGCTGTCTGGGTCCGACTTTCCTGACGAGGAGTGGCTGTGGGATTATGAGAAGCATGGCCATCGGCATTCCATGATAAGAAGAGTCAAGCGGTTCCTGAGTGCCCACGAACACCCCTCCAGCCCCAGAAGAAGAAGCTACAGGAGGCAGACAAGTGACAGCTCCATGTTCTTACCCCGAGATGACCTCAGCCCAGCCAGGGACCTACTGGATGTGCCCTCAAGAAACCCCCCCAGGGCCTCACCCACCTGGAAGAAATCCTGCTTCCCAGAAGGAAGCCCCACGCTGCACTTCAGCATGGGAGAGCTGTCCACCATCAGGGAGACCAGCCAGACAAGCACTTTACAGAGCCTGACCCCACAGTCCAGTGTGAGAACTTCCCCCATCAAAATGCCACTGGTACCTGAGGTATTGATCACAGCAGCCGAAGCACCAGTGCCCACATCAGGGGGCTACCACCATGATTCCGCTACCTCCATCTTGAGCTCTGAGTTTACAGGGGTTCAGCCAAGCAAGACTGAGCAGCAGCAGGGCCCCATGGGATCCATCCTGTCTCCCTCAGAGAAGGAGACACCTCCTGGAGGCCCCAGTCCCCAGACAGTTTCAGCCAGCGCTGAGGAAAATATATTCAACTGTGAAGAAGACCCTGGTGATACCTTTCTAAAAAGGTGGAGTCTTCCGGGATTCCTGGGGTCCAGCCACACTTCCCTGGGAAACCTAAGTCCAGACCCCATGAGCTCTCAGCCAGCTCTTTTAATTGACACAGAAACATCCTCAGAGATCAGTGGGATCAACATTGTGGCTGGCTCTCGAGTCTCTTCTGATATGCTGTATTTAATGGAAAACCTGGACACCAAGGAAACAGATATCATAGAGCTGAACAAGGAAACTGAGGAATCACCCAAATGAGTGCCACCAAGTTCTAGGACCTGGTTCTAGCCTAGATTCTTACCTCCCCAAAAGCAGCATATTAGGCCCAGGACATACCTGAAGGCTGGTCGACTTTTTAAAAAACATGATCACACTGTATAAGCTACTTAGAACTTTGAAGGGCATTATGATCCTGACTTTTTGAGAGCTGCGAAAAATCAAACGCATTCACGTCATCCAACACAACATGGCTTTCATCAGAAGTTACACAGACCACAGTGATTTAGCCAAATAAGTCTTAACCAAAAAAAGGAATCTGAAAAACATACATGACTTATAAATTCATAGATTATTAGTTGTGGAAAGAGTCTCATAGATCATAGTCCAATCCCCTAGACCCAAAGGCCCAGACACGCAGGGTTCTCTATTTCTCTTCTTTTTTCTCTTTCTTTTTTTCTTTAGCCATAAAGAAAGGAGATGGATCACCTAATGCCTGAAAGATCCCCTCCTTCCTAACGTTTTTGTTTGAGGCTTTCTAACCATCTCATTCCTACTTTTATAACTATTATTGTTATTATCACTTCCTGATTCTTAAGCTTCATCAGCACCAGAACACTTAATTCTCTTCAATTTCCTTTTTTACTTTTCTCTCTTTTCCTTTTATTCTGTCATCCTTTTTTTCCCTTCCCTTCTCCCTGGTTGTGCTGCTTTTCTAGTAATCTGTCCCATTTTTCAGGTTATAATATTTCCTCTTGCCAAATCTGTTGCTTATGTCTTGCCATGAATTTCAAAATATAAGACATTGGCAAAGCCTCCTACAGAATCATCAAAGGTGTCAACAAATCCAGCCTGATACCCTTCCAGTCTCACTTCCAGTGGAAGGCATATAGGAGTGATGGTTCCCCCCGTGCCCTTGCAGCCATTGACATTTCTTTCTGCTTCCACTATTTGGTGTTGGGCACTGGAGAAAAACGAAGCCAAGAGAATATGAAATTTGCATAGCCAAATGCTATGGAACCAAAGAATAAGATGACTCACATCTGTTTAACTTGAACTCTTATGCAAAAATCCTAATCGTGTCGCAACACGGGACCAGTTACTGTGTCTATCGGGTCATTTGGGAATGGGCAGGATACTGGAGCTGGGAGGCTAATGGG
Organism: Homo sapiens; assembly: GCF_000001405.40. Taxonomy (NCBI): domain Eukaryota; kingdom Metazoa; phylum Chordata; class Mammalia; order Primates; family Hominidae; genus Homo; species Homo sapiens. The sequence continues at coordinate 69,653,788 of NC_000012.12, read as the reverse complement.
GTCCAGAGCTGCATAATGGGGATCGGATGTTGGTACTCCTCCCAGGGAGCTCTCAGGACAGCTGTTTGTCGTGGGCTCCCAAGTGCCTAGGCCATGCCTTACGACTGCTGCACTTACCATTTGTCATATGATGGCACTTGACTACATATGGCTTTAGAAATAAAATAACCCTCAAAACTACCATTTATTGAGTGCTTACACTGTTCCAGGCAGCAGCGAATCTTATGAGACTGATATACTGTTATTTCCATTTTAAAGACGAGAGAAACAGGCTTTAGAGAAGTAAGGTATTTGCCTAAAATCACATAGCCGAGAAGTGACAGTGTTCATCTTCAAACCCAGGTTTATCTGACTCAAGAGCCCACACTGTTAACCACTATGCTTTCTCACTGCCCTGTGCTATGTGTAAGGCCCTGAATCTGCCAGCAATTTGCCCAGCATTCTGGAGGATGCCCCAAGGGAGGCATGCCCAACTCACAGATTCAGGCTAAATCTCTCCAGCCTCAAGGGCCTCTCTGGGTCCTCCCCGCTCAAGTCTACCTGCGTCTTTTATGCATTCATAGAGAAGGGCATTGCTCCAGCTTGGAGTACCACCCATAGTCCTCTTCATTTTTCATGACAGAAAAAAGTTGGCAGGACCCTCCTTCCCTTCACCAACTCCTCCTGATACGCAATGTTCAAATTAGCACATTTTCACAAGACCTCATATCTCCCAGGCCTCCAAGCTGCATGACAACAATGACATTTACTTTAACTGACTTTTCTCAAAGGACTGAAAAGAAATAATATTAGAGGAAATGCTATACCTTGATGGTTCTCTATGTTGGTTGGTAGTGTTAGCATCTGGGAAAGCCCCGTTATTCCCAAAGCACTACGTATAGACTATGGGATCAAGAGCCAATATAACACTTCTAGAAGGCAGGATCCCTAACCTTCTCCCAGTCACCAGGCTCTTAATGCTATTTTCTTGGGTATTTCAATTTCAGTCTGTCTATTCTCTTCTCTTTAGCTCTGTCTGTTGCTCAAATTCAAGTAAGTTTCTACTTAGCTGCTTTTGAAACATAATCAGTTTTCATTCCTAAATCCAAGGTGATAAATTATACACAAATATAATAATACATTTATGAAGGGCTGGCAGTGTTCATTTATCTCTGCTTCCACACGCCCCTTATGCACTTTTATCCAGATAATTTTTTAATTTCCTCAATATTTCTTCAAAATTTGAGATAGACTCTCATTTTCTTCTTGCAATGAAAACTAAATTATGACATGCTCAATGAGCCCGTGTGGTTGAATTCAGCTATAAAATCAAACCAGCAATTGCTCAGAGCAGATGAAGAAATTCTCTATTAATTCTAAAATGAGTTTTTACTCAACACAGACCACGGTTGAAAAAAACAAAATGATTTCTTCTCATGTACCTGATTTCATTGCCTGCCTAGCTCCTTTTTCCCTGAGTCCTGGAACCTTCACCCACCTGGATGAATGGTCACATGGCCTGGTGGCTTAATCTTTTGAGTTTGCCCATTCCAAGAACAGGCTCAACTCTCTCACATTAAATGTGATCCAAAAGCCAGAGAGTGCGGTGAGGCCAAGCTCTATTTGTTGCGTTCTCTCCCTGCTTTGTAGAGATAACTCTGCCCTGATGCTGGGGTTTGTAGTTCAGTAAGGAAATGGCCCACTAACTTTTTCTCAATTTTCCAAGAATTTTAGAGAATGACTGGCACCCAGCAAAACAAAGAAGGCTGTTATCTCCCCTTCCTTTATTGTCCTGTCTACTTCATGGTGTATCGCCTCCACCACTCCAGACATCCACTTTCAGCCTGGTTCAGCTAAGCTATGGAAAATATTTTAAATGGAATGGAGAAATGTAAAATTTGCCATGAAAGTAAAGATTTGTTTAAATCTTAGAAATACTCCTCTTGTTTTTGGTGTTTTCGCCTCTAGCTTCCTTCTTCTCCAGAAAAATCAATTCAATTTTTTTCTTTCTTTTTTTTTTTTTCTTTTTTTTTTGAGACAGAGTCTCACTTTGTCGCCCAGAGCTGGAGTGCAGTGGCACAATCTCTGCTCACTGCAACCTCCACCTCCTGGGTTTAAGCAATTCTCCTGCCTCAGTCTCCCGAGTAGCTTGGATTACAGGGACCCGCCATCACACCTGGCTAATTTTTTTGTATTTTTAGTAGAGACAGGGTTTCACCATGTTGGCCAGGCTGGTCTTGAACTCCTGACCTCAAGTGATCCACCCATCTTGGCCTCCCAAAGTGCTGGGATTATAGGCATGAGCCACCACACCCTGTTTGATTCCATTTTAAGTCATTTTTCTGAGCTCTTAATGTCATAAAATCTACTCTCTGAGAATCTACTGAGCCCAAGTGGCCATGAGTTATAATGGGATAAGGAAAACCAGTGTTTTCCTTTACAAATTTGAACAAGTCTGCGTTCTTCTGAACTTCTTATTCTCATCTATAAAATGGGCTCTTTTCTGGCTCATTTCACTTGCCCTTCATGAGGCATCGTGAGAGGAGGCTGGGAATGCAGCAGCACTGTATGGATGGCAAGCATGACTGGGGATTAATGTTCCCATGGATTCACTATGAACTTCAGAAAAAGCCCTTCCTCTCTTCCTCATTTAGTCACTTGTTTGCCAGGATCTACTTATTCTACAGGATTCTAGCCTCTTTCATTCAGGAAGCTTTCCTTCTTTTTTTAGAGACAAGTCCTGCTATGTTGCCCAGGCTGGCCTTGAACTCCCTAGCTCAAGAGATCTGCCTGTCTCAGCCTCCGGAGAAGCTGGGGCTTACAGACATGCACCACTGTGCCTGGCTCAGAAAACTTTTCTTCTAAGACACACACCATTAAGCTTCCAAATTATTAATCTAGTCATTTCTCTCTTGGTTTTTTTTTCCTTTCATATGCTTCCCAACTCCTCCCACATCTTCTTTCTCTGCAGTGTTTTTTGTCATAGTTCTTCACTGTCCACCATATCCCAGGCCTCATCACCATGGCAATGAATTCCTCCTCTAACCCATTATGTGTCTCCATCCCCTCAATCAAAACATGGAACTGGAGAAAAGTAGTTGCTTCTGTTTTCTCCACTATAAATCTAGAGGATTTAGAACCCCTGGTTCAAAGTTAGAAGACCCTCTTGAGGTATCTAATCTCCCTAAACCTGGTCCTGGATCAGTTAATTAGAAAGAACAACTACAACTGTAAAAACTCCTAAGCAAGAGCAGGTTGAAACCTAATTCCCCCTGCCCCTCTCTTATCACAATCATCTACATGATCAACAACAAACATTTTCTGATGTGCTGGGCTATTAACAGTAACAACCAAGGATTTCCTCATTTTGTCTTGTTGAACTATGTCAGATAGGTCCTCAATACTTTTGCATGCTTTTTTGTTTTTTTAGTTCTATGGACCTTAATTTTTGGGACAGGCTTTTCCACTCATGTGGCCACTGAGTCGAAAGAACCAATTCAAGAATACCAGGATCATTCTCTTTTTGCAAATTTACAAAACCCAGAAAAAATATTCCTATTCACTGGCAAAGCTTGAGAGACAGAATCCTAACAAACATTCACCTCTCTCCAAACTCTCTCTCTTCATCACCTCCACCTGTGCAGTCAGCTCATGCCTGGCCATGGCAAATGGAAAATGCACCAATTTCCCTGTAAAATAGAGACCCAAAAACCACATTTGCTCAAATAATTAATTCAGTTTGGAGATTACGTTTTTGTGTTTTATTTTGTTTTGTCTCTGAGTTAATTCAGAAAGTGGACTCAAACCTTCCTTTTGCCACAGGTAGATGTGGCCAGGTGGTTACCTAGAATCATCTCTGATCTTCTAATTTTAGACATTTGCCAGAAGCAGCAAAGGGAATGTTGTATCTTGTATCCAGAAAACAAATAAGAACGTTTCTAAAATGGGTTTTGCACAAAAGCGCTGGTGCGTTCCAGGTTTTTTGTCTAGGCCAGTGGCTCTCAGCCAGAGATGGCTTTGCACCCAGAAGATATTTGACAATGTCTGGAGATAATTTTAGTTGTCAGGCTGGGGAGTATTTCTGGCATCTAGTGGGTAGAGGCCAGAAATGCTGCTAAACATCCTACAAGGCACAGGACAGACGTCCACAACTATTTGGCCCAATATACCAAGTTTGAGAAAGCTGATTTAGGCCAATAAGAAGGTAAAAATGAGACAACCATCAAGGAGATTAATGATAAGAGATGAGCTAGAGGAAGAAATAGAACTAGAAGAGAACAGATTAGCCCAGCAACAGGCTAAATTCCTATTCTATGTACAAGCTGTGAAGTAATTACCATTTCTCCCTTGATGATAGAGGATCTGATATCTCAAATTCAGAAAAATCAGATTTGAACCCCGAGGTTCATGCTTAGATTCCTTGAATGGCTCCTACCAGTAAGAGTAGCTAAATGCCATTGCTGGCATGATTGTAATTTCCTTAGATTATACTTTATATAAAGAGTGACAACAAATCCGGCACAGTGGCTCATGCCAATAATCCCAGCACTTTGGGAGGCCAAGGCGGGCAGGTCGCTTGAGGTCAGGAGTTTGAGACTAGCCTGGCTAACATGGCAAAATCGTGTCTCTACTAAAAAAAAGTACAAAAATTAGCCGGGCGTGGTGGCGCACACGTGTAATCCCAGCTCTTGGGAGGCTGAGGCACGGGAATCACTTGAACCCGGGAGGCAGAGGTTGCAGTGAACTGAGATCATGCTACTGCACTCCAGCCTGGGCAACAGAGCAAGTCTGTCTCAAATAATAATAATAAATTCTTACCAATATTATTGAAGAACTTGTGCCAATAAGCTGCTAGACTGTGGATAGACAACTGATCTAGCTTCAGCTTTTATATGTGTCTTTCTGAGGACTGAACAAACTGTATCTTCTAGACATGTAATTTGGTACTTTATGTAGAAAGGACTTTTTTGTAGAAAATAGTTACAAAGGATTGGGTCAGTTTACTACCTTCCCTGGGCCAAGCAAACTCATGGATTCCTCTGCCTCAGACTTCCAGGAGAATAACATCAAGGAATTGGTGAAATCCTGGATGATGTCACCAGTTGGACTTGTATTCATAGTCATTCATGAAACATTAAGCAACTATTGAGTGTCAGGCATTCCGCTAAAGCTGAGTGTCCGGGAAGTTCTGTCCCTCCCATCCTCCCTAATGGATCTGCCACTCTCTCTGCAGGTCCTGAGAAATAAGAACATGCCTTCTGAAGTTCATTCATGTTTGCCCCTGAGTTTGTTTTCTTCATCCACAATCCCGTTCCCCATCCCAACTATTTCAGTTTGTTTAACATGAAGCCCTTTGCTTGTATACATTCTTATAAAATGCATAGTTTTGTGTGCAAATGCTTTTGTAGTATAGGTCTCATCTGTTTATTTTTCACTTAGTACTATGTTTTTCAGATCCCCCCAAATTCCCTCTTGTAAATCTTATCTACTGCCCCAATTGCTTCTAGCCGCTGCATACTCCAGGATGTCTCATATCTCACTTACATACTGTCCCAATTGCCTCCACCTCCCTCCAGAGACCCTAGGGATCTCCCTCCAGAGAACCTAGGGATCCATAGAAGAGTTTCTTTGGGGTGTAGACCCACGAACAGATTGACCTCCAGAAGTGTCCTTGCATCTCTACATCCCTTTCCCCAACCCCAAGCTTGGCATCGCCTCACTATCTGTTTTTTCCAGTCTGAAAAATGTAAAGGGATGCCTAATTGTTGTTTAATTGACATTAGTCTCATTACTAATGCCATTAAGCATCTCTTCATGTGCCTGTGCATCCTTTTAGGACTCTTCTTCTGAAAATTGCCTTTTCAACTTCTTTGCTTTTTTATCTAATGGAGTTTCTGTACTTTTCTTGTTGATTTTCAGGAGTTCCTTCTTTTTCTAGACTAATAATAGACCCTTGTTGGTTTCAGACATTGTGGTGGTCTTTTCTGATCCTTTGTGTGTCTATTAAAAGTATCCATGGTATTTGTTGAATAGAAATCCTTAATTTAATATAATCAAATTCATCAATTTTTTTGTTTTATGCTTTTGAAGTTTTGTATGAGAAATCCTTCCCCATCCCTCTCCCATGATATTCGCCTACATTTTTTGTCCTATTTCCTTTACAGTGTTAAGTAGGGATAAGTTTTGTTGTTTTTTTCTCCATAGAGTGAGCCAATTATCCCCCCATCTACTAAACAACCTTTCATAAGTTCTACATATTTTTTGCAAATTAGATACACTGGTATGAAACAAACAGCATCTGAAAGAGGGGAGAAAGAGGGTCATATGAGTGGAAGAAAAGAAATAAAACTCCAGCTCCTCCCCACTGAATACTAACTTCCTTCCAAATGCCTGCCCTTCTGCTACCTGTGAGTGGTGACGTTTCCCCTTTCAGAGCTTGGGGCATAGCACTCATTTGCACAAAAGCCGACTAAAAATCGGCCAACTCTTGTATCACACTAAACTGCAAGAGTAAAGCCTGCTACTTAAGGAGCTGTTGTTTAAGGAGAAACGGAGATGATAGTTCAGGATCCTTCAACACTCAGAAGAAGGCAGGAGCAAATTCAGAGAGATGGAGTCCACAATCAAATTCTATTTAGAGCCTGGGATCAGCAAAGGTGGAGGCTTACACCAAATGGCCAGCATCACTTGTTCTTACTTGCTGAGGTCTGCTCTGGACCTACAGTCTAAGTCTTTACTCCCCTTTACGCCTCAAAGATGGGTGAATACTGAGTGTTTACTGCCCTCCTTGGTTCTGTCCTTAGAAATCAGCTGCCATGCTTGGATGGTTGCAGATGGGTTCAGAAGTGAATGAATCTCATCTTTTTTTTTATTCCCCAAGGAACAAAACTTTCTGGAAGTGGCGGCATCTTCAATTCTAATGATAAGCTTGGTATTAATCCACATGTTTACTGGACCCTACTGACTCCAAAGGAAAAGCACAACCAAGATTAGAAAACACTTTCAATCAGTCATTTTTTCCAAATAAAAATGGAACCCGATTACTTTCATAACTAAAGAATGGAGGAAGACAGGCAGATTTCTGTCACATTCATTCATCTCTCTTCAACATGGTTTTGCTCCCCCTGGCCCTGATGCAGAGGCTATGTGCCCCTGATGCTCTGCAGGGAAAAAGGTTTAGCTGGTGAGGGGCCAGGTGGGACAATGCCCTTCTCATGGGTACAGTGGAAATGAGACATGTGCCCACTTGCCTTAGAAGGCAGCCAGGCCTTTCCACTGGGATGTAAGCTCCATTCACTGGCTTTTTCAACCAGTGCATCTCCAGGGATTAGAAAAGTGTCTGACCATATCAAAAAAAAAAAATTAGGTGCATGGATGCTTGAAGGAAAGAAAAAAATAAATAAATAAAACCAAATCAGATCTAGATCCAAAGTTAGTAGACCTGAAAATCTCAATCAAGTATAACCACAAACTTAGCTGTGTGATCTCAGTCAAGTTACTTGAATACTCTGGACTTCCTTTAGCTCATCTCTAAATGAATGGTTAGACTAAGTGATTTAAAATCCCTCTCAAGGCCAGGCACGGTGGCTCACGCCTGTAATCCCAACACCTTGGGAGGCTGAGACTGGTGGGTCACTTGAGGTCAGGAGTTTGAGACCATCCTGGCCAACATGGCAAAACCCCATCTCTACTAAAAATACAAAAAATTAGCTGAGCATGGTGGCAGGCACCTGTAATCCCAGCTACTCGAGAGGCTGAGGCAGGAAAATCACTTGAACCTCGGGGGCAGAGGTTGCAGTGAGCCGAGATCATGCCACAGCACTCCAGCCTGGGTGACAGAGCGAGACTCCATCTCAAATAAATAAATAAATCCTTCTCAAATGCTGGTACCAGTAACATATCTGGAGATTCTATACCTGGAGGAGGAAGAAAGAGACGGTTGTGATGAACATTAGAAAATTGACCTAAATGGTGAAAGAAAAAGGAGAGTGAGGTCAGGAAAGGGAGGGTTACAACTATTGGGTACTTAGGATGTGCCTGGTGTTTTATATATATCACTTCAATCGGTCCTCACGACAGCTACAAAGCCCTATTACCCATTAAATAGGAGGAATATAGAAAAGGTAAATAACTTGCTACAGGTTACACAACAATTAAAATTTCAATCTGGGATTTGAACACAGGTCCCCTAGGCTCATTGCTGATTCTGCTATTCCACACCGCATCTGTAACAGTTAACTAGGTTAGGATAGAAAGTTATGTTTGCAGCACACAACTGATGAACAGTCAATCAGCAATCACCGTAACCACTCAACCACCTCTGCCGACTTACCCTTTGAGGTCCATGGAGGAACCTTGGGAAACCAACATTTATTGAACCTATTAGGTGGCAGTTACTGCAGTAAGTGCTGTCCATACCTTATCACATTTAATTCTCTTAACAAGCTGTGAAGTATCTCTATGCCCATTTTATAGGTAAGGAAACTAGGGTTTGGGGAAAAAACTTAGCGTTCCTGGGAGCCTTAACAAAAACTCAGTGAGCTTTAGCCCTTCCAAAACCTTACTCATCAGTCTGCCCTTAGCCATCCTCTAGCGGATGTGTGGTAATATTATAATAAACCAATACTGAACACTCTGCCAAATAACTAGAGCAAAATTTGTGCTGTAATTCAATTGGCCATCCCTTTCACCCTGGCATTTCATCAACCAGAAAAAATAAAAACCAAATATCATCAAAGAAAAGAGGCCCCCCATAGGTTCTTCAATTCTCATATTTATATAAATGCCATTGAAGTCCCAAGAAAAGTATCAAATAAATTTAAGGCCCAAAACCAAATAGCTGATGGATTTGAATCTACATTCTTCTAATAGTTAACTGTAAATAAAAATGTAAATTGAATAAATTACATGTATTACAATCAGCAATGATTTATCAATTATACTAAAAATACTATTTTAAAAAATAGCTAAACAATTAGGACCTGCCAGTCAAATGGCCTGGAAAACTAAAATAGCATTAAACATACTACTAGCAAAAGAAAGTGGAGTTTGTGTCATAATCAAAACCCAATGCTGTACTTACATGCCTAACAACATTACTCCCAGTGGAACCATAACTAAAGCATTACAGAATCTTACTGTCCTATCAAATAAGCTAGCCAAAAATTCTGAACTAAACAATCCCTTCACAAATTTAATAAAAAATTGGTTCAGTAAATAAAAAAACCTTATGTCCTCAATCCTCATCTCTCTAGCCATTAAAATAGAGTTACTTATTCTCATAAAATACTGCATCATACCCTGTGCCAAAAAATTAATACAAAAACTTATTAAAACAACTCTCACTAAAACCTCTTACAATCCTCCTCCCCCTATTTCAAATAAACTTTTCCTTCTAAAAGACCAAGTAAAACAACAGAGCCAAATTATGCTAAAAGAAATTTTTTTAAAGTTATAACAATTACTTAGCACATTTAATTCTCTTAACGAGCTGTGAAGTAGCTCTATGTCCATTTTATAGGTAAGGAAACTGGGGTTTGGGGAAATAAACTACTGTATCCATGTCACAGAGCTGACAATTAGCAGAGTTGCGTTTCAAAATCAGGCCTGCACATAAACCATGAGGCAAATATGTGACTTCCCTGAAGGATATAGCCCAACCCTAGAGCTTATTTCTCTATAAATACATTCCCTACAGTTGTACCTGCTCCCCTCCTGCTCCCTTGCTTCACTGGCAACAACTTAAACTCTTGGGTATGATATGGGATGGTACTTTGTCATTAGTCAAAGCTGGTTTGGGTGCCTGAAACACATCTGAAGATCCAATGCAAGACCAGCAATTCCTTCTTCTTTGTACACATGTGAGGTTTTTAGGTTCTGGGACCATGCTTCAGAACACTGAAATTACATTAAATGTGTGGTGGCCTATGTGAATTCAACTCTGTGAGTTTGGCGAAGAAAAGAGAAGCACCTGTATACGTGTAGAAAGAAAAGACCATTCTCCCTTCTCCCCTTCTCCCCAGGAAACAGATGCCTAAGAATGAGTGGAAGATGGAAGATATAAAAATCCCACTCCCTCAGCCTCAATTCCAGTGTGCTAAGAGTGATCCTGGTGGTTAAAGGTACAACACTCGAATCTTTCAAAACAACTTGGCTCCTAAACACAAGCCAACAATCTCATCTGCTGCTCAACTGAAAAACATTCTCCACTTTTTAGCATCCAGGCATGTGGAGTTCCTAAGAAATGCACTTTATTAATGCCCAACATGGTACCTTCCCAGGAGATTTTAATGGTAATTTTCACTCTACCAGTGTTATGTGTGCTGACTTTAGGGCCCACCCTTCACATATGGTATTACTCACTCAAGGGTTTAAACTGGGGCATTCCAGAAGTACCAGTTTCCATGATGAAAAGTGGAACAGCAGAAGCGCTTAAAGCAATTTTACTGAATCTAGTTTTTGTCTTTTTTTTTACATTAAGCAAAATAATGTTTACTAATAAGTTTCTTAATTTAGCAGTCTGAAACACAATTAGATATACAATTTTGGTCTGCAGTGGGAAGGTGGCTGGTAGTCTGAATCTGATTTTCAGATAGCTCTGTTTTTTTGGCCAACATGCTCCAATTTACTGCAGTCTCCGCCACTCCCTATTGTCCTACACTAGGCCTGCTTCACTCATTTGTTGCCTACCTGGCTCTCATAGGTATCTTGAGTTTGTACTTCTTTTACTAAAGCATCACCGGCTCCATGAAGACCTCAACCACTGTGAGTTCCACAAATGCACTCAGGGAAAGCATAAGAAAATACAGAAGTTAAAGTTCTCAGATCATCTTTCTGCTCACTTCTATAAACTTCCAGCAGCCCCGTGCTATCACTCAGACACGTTAAACCTGCATGCTTTTCTCTTGTTGACCTGCCTCTCTGGGTGAAGTACACAGTCATGGTGTTCCCCCTGGCTGGATGACAGTGTAAATCATCCAACCCGCGGGGACTCCCAGCACCAACCAACCCTGCTTCACCAGGCCCCATTGGCAGCAGGTCTGGCAGAGATGTCAGATCCCAGACAACTCAGGAACAGCATGTCATTGCCATGCCATTCCCACTCAGGAAACTCGAGCCTCTTCATTCAGGGTTGTATAGCCACAGCTGCTGTTCACGGTACCTGGCAGGCTGGTTGGCTCTTGCCACAGGCGGGGCAGCCAGGAGCCCTCCTGCTATTTCCATCCTTCAGCCTCAGGAGCCATCAGTCACTCCCAGGTCAGCTCCACAGCAATGGGCATGGAGCGCTGAGCAACAGAGAGCACTCCACAGAGAGAGGAGATGAAAAGATTTGGAATGGGTTTTTTTGGGGGGGATGGGGGTACAGGGGTTTGAGATGGAGTCTCACTCTGTCACCCAGGCTGGTGTTCAGTGGCACAATCTCATCACACTGCAACCTCTGCCTCCTGGGTTCAAGTGATTCTCGTGCCTCGGCCTTCTGAGTCGCTGGGATTACAAGCATGCCCCACCATACCCGGCTAATTTTTGTATTTTTAGTAGAGACGGAGTTTCACCATGCTGGCCAGGCCACTCCTGGCCTCAAGTGATCTGCCCACCTTGGCCTCCCAAAGTGCTGGGATTACAGGCGTGCACCACTGTGCCCAGCCTGGGATATGGAATGTGTTAAAGCCAGCTTTACTCTCCTAAGGACAAAGGCAAGCCAGTAAGTGGAGGAAGAAACAGCTAAGCCAGAGTTGGTAAATCCTGCTGGTGGGAGAGATGACTAAGGACAAGATCAAGCCCCCTCACTGCAGGGGAAATAAAACTTCTAAAAGTTATAAGTCCAAAAGTTGATAAAAGACTGGAGTTAGGCAAAACGTCAAATATAAGAGGCAAGAATATGCCCATGTTCTTGAGTTCTTTCCGTGATGGGCACTGGCTTTGTGTTTGGCCAACATAAAGTTTAGAGCCACTTTCCTCTGAATATTTCAAGTGATACTCAGAGAGCCTGTGGAAGGAGCACTGAGGCGTTTGAGAGCAAAGAGCAGAAAGCCAGCGTCAGAGTGGAAACAACCGTGTCCTTCAGCTGTTCCATCAAGGTCGATGGGGTATGGCCCCCCAGCCACCAGTGCAGTTCTCTGCAGCTGCCTCACCTCCAGTACCCAAGGCTAAGGGAGTCGATGTCTCTCCCACACACAGTTTTTGCAAATCCCACTCTGTTGTTACCCCACTGAAACATGCAGCGTAGGGTGGGGCACAGTGGCTCACACCTGTAATCCCAACATTAAGAGGCCAAGGCAAGAGGATTGCTTGAGGCCAGGAGTTTGAGACCCACCTGGGCAACATAGTAAGACCCCATCTCCACACACACAAAAAAAAACTTAAAAATTAACCAGGCATGCTGGCATGTGCCTATAGTCCCAGCTACTCAGAAAGCTAAGACAGGAGGATGGCCTGAGCCTAGGGGGTCAAGGCGGCAGTGAGCTATGATCACGCCACTGTGCTTCAGCCTGGGTGATGAAGTGAGACTGTCTCCAAAAAACAAAACAAAACAAAAACATGCAGTAAAAATCAGATATAAGTATGTGTCCTAGGATTCAGAGCTGTTCAGAGTTGGTGGTGACATCTAAAACTGATACACACAATCCCCCTCCCTCAGGGCCTCCTAGAACCTAAAAGAGCAGATACAGGGTGGCATGGGCATCACTGCCGCCCTGCATCCATAACACCTGCTGGCTGGGTACCAGCCAGGTATCTTCTCTACGTATTTTTCAGCAGACAATGTGTACTTTCTATGGTCTGTGGTCCACAGTATACCAGGGGAGTAAGTTCTTCTTGTTTTTTGTTTGTTTGTTTGTTTTTCCTAGAGATGGATCTTGATGGATCTTGCTATGCTGCCCAGGCTGGCCCTGAGCTCCTGGACTCAAGTGATCCTCCCACCTCAGCCTCTTGAGTAGCTGGGACTACTGCGATATGCCACTGTGCCTGGTTTATGAGCTCTGATTTTACATTCCACATATAAAACATATTTTTATATATGTTTTTATATATGTTTTATATATACATTCCACATAAAAAACATATTACATATTCCACATATAAAACCAAATTTCAAACATGGCCTGGTCAACATTTGTGAAGAAGTGAGGTCTTTGAACATAAAAGTAAGAATATGAGCTTTGGGCCGGGTATGGTGGCTCACGCCTGTAATCCCAACACTTTGGGAGGCCAAGGTGGGCAGATCACCTGAGGTCAGGAGTTGGAGAGCAGCCTGGCCAACATGACAAAACCCCATCTCTACTAAAAATACCAAAAAAATTAGCCAGGCTTGGTGGCAGGTGCCTGTAATCCCAGCTACTCAGGAAGCTGAGGCAGAAGAATCACTTGAACCCAGGCGGCAGAGGTTACAGTAAGCTAAGATTGCACCATGGCACTCCAGCCTGGGTGACAGAGCGAGATTCTCTCTCTCAAAAAAAAAAAAAAAAAAAGTGGAATATGAGCTTTGGACTTAGATTTCATGGATTCAAATCTTGGATAGACCACTTTTGGTGACAAGTTACTTAACCTTTCTGTGACTTGGTTTTCTCACAAATGAAATGGAGATAATAGTAATACCTATTTTTGTGGGTATTAATAAACTCATATTACACAGCTAGCCATATAGCATACACAATACATACTTGCCATCATGTTTATATCATCATATTATTAAATAGTATGGTGATTAAGAGCTGAGGCACTGCTCTAGTCGGGCTCAAACACTTACTAGCTGTAAGACCTTGAGCAAGCTACCGAACATCCCTTAACCTCAATTTCATCAACTACAAAATTGTGTTAATGCCAGAACCTTCCTCGTCAGGTTGTTTGAAAAATTAAATGAAATTGTGAAGATAAAGCTATTAATATGGGGTCTGATGCAAAGTTATGACTCAATAATTATTAACTATTTTTAATATTAGTTAATAAAATGGGCCAGACTTTGGAGCAAAACATTTGGGATTTTTTTTCCTCTCCTTCCCCCTCCTCAGATTTCATAATTTTTAATGTTTCTTCCCTGAAAGTATATAAGTGACTATTTTGCGAAGTCAAATATCTATGGACATTATTTCTTAAATCTCCTACCTTGGACCGATTTGATAAAAACAGCGTATAACAAACTACACGTGGCAGAAGCAAAGGCCAAGGGAGGAACACCAGCGAGGGTTTCTCCACGCTGCCTCCAGGTGGCAGCACTTAGCATGGCGAGCCTCAAAAGGCCCAGATGAGAGCCTCCGCTTCAATCCATCTGAAACCAAGGGTGGAAGCTATGTTCATCCCTGAGGGCGACTGAAGATTCTCAGATGCACTTGTCATTGCCTCTGGGGAAGGAGGCTTGGGACATGGATGGACAGGGCTGGGGCGATCAGGGCTGCCCCTAACGTATGCAGAGCCCCTGTGTGTGTAAATAATTTGAGTCATTCCAAATCAGTATGTTGAAAAAAACAAAACACCGCACCAGACCCAGGAGTGACCCATGCATCAGTCAGGTTACTCCTGGAAGCAGGGCCTGCAGGAAACCCCACACGCCTTAGAGCGCCTTGTCCAGATGGCATTGCCAGCCCCGCCAGTCCCAGGCACCAGGGAGGGACTTGAATATGAGAAACTTTAGAGGAAGATGCTTCAAAGCACAGAGGGGCTTTTGAGTAGAAACAGCCTTTCTTATGGGCGGGGGGTTCTGCATCCCTGAGTCCAAGATAATACACAAGCACACACACTTTAATTATTTCTTTAAGCTCTTGTTAATGTTTAAAATCTCCCCTTCTAAATGGATTGCTTACCAAAGACAGAATCCAAGAAATTGGCAGCTGAGGGTCTTATCAGGAGGGGGATATGGGCCTGGCACGGTGGCTCACGTCTGTAATCCCAGCACTTTGGGAGGCCGAGGCAGGTGGATCACCTGAGGTCAGGAGTTCGAGACCAGCCTGACCAACATGGAGAATCTCTTCAAATCAGTGGGGAATGTGGAATGGAGAGCCTCTTCATCTGCAAGACATCAAGGAATAGACCTCAGAGGCTGCTGATACCCACTGGCTCCCGGTTGGTTGGAGTAAATGCATTCACAGTAGGTCTTCATGTCACTGACCTTCTGTTCTTAGAACCTTGAGGTGAGAAGGAAATTTTTGTGTCACCTGGTTCAGTGCCTTGTTGTGTGGTAGAATTCTCTCTACAATCATCCTGCCAAGATTCATCCAGCTGGAATCCCTTTAGTGAAAGACAATTCACCCTTCCTGAGACAACACACTGCATGCTGGGACATTACACTCTTTAGAGGCCTTCTCCATGTTGAGTGAAAAGCTGTCCCCTGACAGCCAGATCCCACTGGTTCTGATTCTGCCTGTGGGTCCACACCTAAGTAGTCCATCCTCCTGCCTGCTCAGGACCTGCCTCAAACATCTGAAGAGTATGATGCTTCTATACATGCCCTCAACACACACACACACACACGCGTGCACACACACACACCGTTTCTTGAGACCAAACCTTGCCAAACCAAGAATCAAATTGTTCTTTACATCTGATGATCTTGAGTCCTTCCACTGTCCTGATCTGTCTCTGCTGGCGGTGTCATAAATGGTCCTACTCAAATGTGCACCCAGAAGCAAGCACAGTACTCCCCATATTTGATGGGTGGGAGGTGGAATTTTTTTTTTAACCAGTGCAAAGTAGAGCAGCAAAATCAGCCTCCTTGTTAGGAACACTCAGCTTCTAACCATGTGGCCCACGATGCTGTACCTCCCAGAACCTAGACCACTGTCTGGCACTGGGTAGACACTCAAGAAGTATTTGTTTAATATACATGAATGATATTTTGAAAGTGTAAGTTCATTTTTGTTTTACCTTTTTGTAGTAGCAGTTAGTGATTGTTGTTGCCAATAGTCAGGAGGAACTTTGGGATTTCATATCTGACGTGACTCTGCAGGCTGGGCTATTGGCTACCTGTAGCAAAGTCTACTAATTGTCTCCCAGTATCCATTCTATGGATCACAAGTGACTACATTTGGGCAATAGAATGTGAGCAAAGCATGACAGGTGCAATTTGCAGATCATCTCCTGGAAGGAGAAGCTGTGGCGCTCCCTTTCTGCATTCCTGCTGTCTGAGAGATGGGTGACTGGAGCGATCTTGGAAGCCACGTGTTGAGGATGACAGGAGCCACCCCCTGACCCTGGACCTGTTTCATGACTTGTGTGACACTGGATTTGGGGGTCCCTTTGTTATAGCATTTCAGCTGGTATCCTAACTAATACAACAACATATCCTAGAATTTTATCTCAGGACCTCTTCATAGTATCAGCCCTCTCTCCCATATTACCGTTTAGTAATATTCCAGATCCCGTTACTGCCAGTACCATAATCACAAGGTCTCTGAGCAACAATGACAATTCCAAGGACTAACCTTAGGCTTACTGTTGTCAATCAACATTCGACACTCTTGACCGGGTGTAGTGGCTCACACCTGTAATCCCAGCACTTTGGGAGGCCAAGGTGGGCAGATCATTTGAGGTCAACTAGCCAACATGGTGAAACCCCATCTCTACTGAAAATACAAGAGGTAGCTAGGCCTGGTGGTGCACGCCTGTAATCCCAGCTACTCAGGAGGCTGAGGGACAAGAATCTCTTGAACCTGGGAGGTGGAGGTTGTAGTGAGCCAAGATCACACCACTGTACTCCAGCCTACACTTTAAAAACTCCAAGGCAAAAATATCTGGACAATAGTTGAAAAAATGAAATTTAATTAAAATATTGAAAGTGTTATTATAAGAAGAAATCATCAAATAAAGACAGAGATGCCAACTTATTTTCTCCTCAAGGTCACTACCAGCGACAGCTTTGCCTTTGATCCTGTTGTTTTCTTTGACCTATTTATGGTGCACCTACTAGTCTCACAGCAACCATGCAGTGTCAGTCATTATTTACAGATGAAAGTCTGAGGGGGCCGGGCGCGGTGGCTCACGCCTGTAATCCCAGCACTTTGGGAGGCCAAGGCAAGCGGATCACAAGGTCAAGAGATCGAGACCATCCTGGCTAACATGGTGAAACCCCGTCTGTATTAAAAATACAAAAAATTAGCCGTGTGTGGTGGCGTGCACCTTTAGTCCCAGCTACTCAGGAGGCTGAGGCAGGAGAATGGCGTGAACCCAGAAGGTGGAGCTTGCAGTGAGCCAAGATTGCACCACTGCACTCCAGCCTGGGTGATAGAGCGAGACTGTCTCAAAAAAAAAAAAAAAAAAAAAAGGTCTGAGGTTCAGGAAGGTTCACATTGCCTTCTCAAAGCCACATAGCTATCAGGCAGCAGAACCAGCATTCAAGCCTGTCAGTCTCCAGGCAGCAAGTTTCTGTTACTACCCCAGCAAGTAAGACTTTGCCAGTAACAAATAGAACAGGGAGAGAACAGGAGTGTGCTTTTCATCTTTGAGCTGAGTCTCCTCACTGAGGCTCTGGACTTGCCTCTTCACTGCTTCACTGGGTGTTGGCAGGCACCAAGACAGAAGCTGCTGGATTTGTAGAGAAGCCAGCAGTGAGGGAAGTATCTGAATCTGCAGTGGCTTGACAACCATCAAGACAAAATTCAATTTGCCCTCGAATATTCACACTCAGGGAAAACATGCACGCGCACATACACACATCAAAAGAAAGTTTGCCAAAGATTCGGGGCGGCAAGCCAGACGTAAACTGTGATCAAAATCACAGAGAGGGCGGTGACAGCCTCCACCCTGAAGGCCAGGAGCATACGACTATCATGGATGACAGAGACATCAGAGAAGGTACCAGGAGTGCCACAGAGTTCCCAAGAGGGAGCCCAGAGCTGCTGATGGCAACAGACACAGCCCCGCCTGTCCCCACATCCCTTTACCTTGCTTCTGCATCCTCGAGTATGCTCTAGAAGTACTCTCTGGGCAATTGGGCAATCTATATTAAAGGACATATCACAGCAAATTGCAGACAGAGTGAACTTTCAAAGCCTCAGGCCTCATTGTTTCATTCATAATTTTTAAAAATCTTAAAATCTTTCAAAAGACTAAAAGCGAAGCCCAAATTCCTCAATATGGCATACAAGGCACCCCAGCTCTGGCCCCTGGTCCCCTCCTCAGCCTCACCTCTCACCACTCCCCTCCTCCTGCCCCAGCCATTCCCCAGCCTCGCTTTGTACTCGCCTTTTCCAGCCTATCTGCCTGTATTTCAGTTCTACCAATGGCCTCGTATCTCTTCCAACCAAAACGTTTGTTTTTCTCCTGAATGAAACCACCATGCCCAAAAATGGCCTCCATTTGGTTGACTTCTACACATCCTTAAGAGGGCGGCTCTGATGTCACTTTATCTAGAAAGCTTTCCCATGCTTTCCAGGCCAGGGCAGGCTACAGAATTCCATATCCTCTGTCTCCCCTATCACAGCACCTATGCCCTATTGGACTGAAGTTCTGTGATGGCACCAAATAGGATGGGACATTTCATTCCGTGTCTAACACACAGTAGGACCTTAATAAATATTTGTTGAATTTGCCTTTTGGAGACCATGAGCTCTGTGAGGCTACAGAGGCTGCAGGCCCAGGACCTGGTGTGATACCTTTCATATGCTAACCATTCATGACTGTTCTTAAATGAAAGCTTTTCCCCTTGTCCCTCCTGCTACCCCGAACCTTTGGCAAACTTTCTTTTGATGTGTGTGTATGTGCGCATGTGTGTTTCCCCTGAGTGTGAAAATTCTAGGGCAAATTGAATTTTGTCTTGATGGTTGCCAAGGCCCAGACATCACATGTTTCAATGTTACTGGCTCCCACTGAACCAAAGGCAGGGTTTAGTTGAAACTAACTCTACTACCATTTGGCTTCCCAAGGAAAAAACTGCTCCAGGCCAGGCACAGTGGCTCACACCTGTAATCCCAGCACTTTGGGAGGCCAAGGCAGGAGGATCACCTGAGGTCAGGAGTCCAAGACCAGCCTGGCCAGCATGGTGAAACCCCCATCTCTACTGAAAATACAAAAATTAGCCAGGCATAGTGGCTTGTGCTTGTAGTCCCAGCTACTCAGGAGGCTGAGGCAGGAGAATTGCTTGAACCCAGGAGGTGGAGGTTGCAGTGAGCCGAGATCATGCCAGTGCACTCCAGCCTGGGCAACAGAGTGAGACTCCATCTCAAAAAAAAAAAAAAAAAGAAGAAAAAAAGAAAAAAACGCTCCACAGAACAATAGGGCCATTTTATCATGTGCTAATGTGGATCTTATTTTACTCCTAAGACGTCCTCCCAGGTCAACCAAATTAAACTTCCAAAGATACTCTCCCTCTTTTATTCCATAGAGTCCTTAAGCATCATGGCAACTCCCAACAACCTAGGACAAAATTCATTGTCAGCTGATAGTTGTGACTAATGCTAGTAAGGAGATATACGAGGCATTTCCTAGACACATCTGAAAGACATGGTGCTGAAAAGTCAATAGGTAAATAAAGCAAAAGAGCCCAGGAGAAACTTAGATGTATTTCCATCATTGTGGCTTTGTTCACATTTATTGCCAGTAATCTGTCTGTAACGTCTTTCTGTGAGCTGGACCCAGTGAATTGATCCCGAGTACAAGGGATGGTCAATACCTCACAGAAGCAACTCATCACCATGGCCTTTGTCATGGCTGAGAAATGAAAAAATAGACATCAGGAAGCCAAATTGCTTGCAACAATGAAAAAAAAGCAAAGCAAAAGGAAAAACTCACACCTTCTCAAAACCGTCCATCCGAGCTAGGGCTGATTGTGTTTTGTGTCACAAGACCAAGGATTCCAAATCAGACTGTCAGTGATTGTGCCTCTGATCCAGAGGGCCTTTCACAGCCAGGTACAAATCACCATGAATGACATGCTCCTGGTAACTGCCAACTCTGGAGAAGCAGCAGGATGAGGGAGAAAGAGCATGGGATGCAGAATAACAGGACCTGGGGTTTTGTCCCATGGTGCCACTTATTGTGTGACCTTGGACAAGCCATTTCAATCCCTCCAGGCCTCAGCATTTCTTATATCAAGCATATAGAACACTTAGATAAAGCATATAGAACACTTTTAGAAAAGCAAAGCATAAGTAGTCGGTACTATGTGATGGCTAATTTTATGTGTCGACTTGGCTGGGCCATAATGCCCAGATATTTGGTCAAATATTATTCTAATATTTGTTTTCTTACAATTCTGGATTGTAGGAAAGGTAAGGAATTAAAAAGAGGAAAACAATGACATCTGGAGAAAGAAAGATATTATTTTCCACTGAGACAGCAATCCTAAGCAGTGGTTCCAGATAGAATTTACTCTGCACCAACAGTGAGGACATTGGGTAAATAAACATAAAGGTGAATATTAGATGAAAAAAGATCTAGGCAAATTAACATCATCTTGCACACTGAATTGATTACAGATGTTAGCATTGACTGAGAAACTTAAAGTATGTCCAATCTATTTCCTTCCCATCACGGATGAGGACTCGAAGGCTCAAGGCTGGAAAGTGGCTGGTCTAAGGTCACACTGTGTGTTCTTAGGAGAGTTAGAAAGAACAATTTCTTCAGAATATGCAACACTGCCTCCTAGAGTTTAGTCCTCCAACTAGCACTGCAATTCAAGGAGGTTATAACACTGTTCTATAATACCACTCCAGTATCTTAGTCAATTGGGCTGCCATAACAAAGTACCATAGACTGGGTGGCTTATACACAACAGAAATTTATTTCTCACAGTTCTGGAGGCTGGAAAGCCCAAAATCAAGGTACTGAAAAATTTGACATCTGGTGAGGGCCTGCTTCCCGGCTTGTAGACATCTAGCTGTATCCTCACATGGTCTCCTGTCTTGTAGTCTTTTAATGAGGACATCATGAAGGCCCCACCCTCCTGACCTAATCTAACCCTAATTATCTCCAAAGACCTCACCTCCAAATACCATCACACTGGGGATCAGGGCTTTAACATAGGGCTTTCAAGGGAGCACAAATACTCAATCCATACCAACTATCAATTACAAAATAAGTAAAATTCTTTCTAAAATACAAATCTTAGCCAGGTGCGGTGGCTCATGCCTATAATCCCAGCACTTTGGGAGGCCAAGGCAGGTGATCACGAGGTCAGGAGTTCGAGACCAGCCTGGCCAAAATGGTGAAACCCCGTCTCTACTAAAAATATAAAAATTAGCCAGGCGTGGTGGTGCGCATCTGTAATCCCAGCTACTCAGCAGGCTGAGGCAGGAGAATTGTTTGAACCCGGGAGGCAGAGGTTGCAATGCGCTGAGATTGTGCCATTGTACTCCAGCCTGGGTAACAAGAGCAAGACTCTGTCTCAGAAAAACAAGAAAGAAAGAGAGAGAGAGAGAGAGAGAGACCAGGAGTGGTGGCTCACGCCTGTAATCCCAGCACTTTGGGAGGCCGAGGCGGGTAGATCACAAGGTCAGGAGATCGAGACCATCCTGGCCAACACAGTGAAACCCCATCTCTACTAAAAATACAAAAAATTAGCCGGGTGTGATGGCGGGCGCCTGTAGTCCCAGCTACTCAGGAGGCTGAGGCAGGAGAATGGCGTGAACCCTGGAGGCAGAGCTTGCAGTGAACCGAGATGGCGCCACTGCACTCCAGCCTGGGCGACAGAGCGAGACTCCATCAAAAAAAGAAAAAGGAAAGAAAGAAAGAAAGAAAGAAAGAAAGAAAGAAAGAAAGAAAGAAAGAAAGAAAGAAAGAAGGAAGGAAGGAAGGAAGGAAGGAAGGAAGGAAGGAAGGAAGGAAGGAAGGAAGGAAGGAAGGGGAAGAAAGAAAGTAGGAAGGAAGGAAGGGGGAGGGGGAGGGAAGGAAGGAGGAAGGAAGGAAGGAAATCTTTTTCATTCTAAGTACCTTGGTTTGTGGCTCCATTAAATCTAAGAGATGTATAATTTTGTAGCCCTGGGACACGTACTTAGCTTCAGTGCTTTGGTTTTTTTGTTTTAAACTTCATTTTCAGTGACATCTCAGGCTTGATGCCATTTCTTATTAGGATGCCTTAGCCCAGAAATCCTCCCACGCCATGAACCTGTGATTCTGATACCTAGATTTTATTTCATCCAGCAGATATGTAGTGAGCACATGTGATGTGGTGAGCATTGGTCTGAATGCTGGAGATACACAGGGAACCAAAGAAACAAAGTCTCCTCACTGATGGAGCTTACACTGGAGGGTGGGGGACAATAAACACATCACTCAATAAAGTCTATAGCTTGGTAGATGGTGATAGTGCTCTGGAGAAAAACTAAGCAGGCTGGGTGAAAGTGAGCAAAGAATTTTTGTAAAAGTAGCTGAGGAGGACCTCATGAAGAATGGGATGTTTGAGCAATCATATAAAAGATGGGATAGGAAGTCACGCGGTATATGAGAAAGAGTGTTCTAGATAAAGGAGATAGTGCTCTAGGTCAGAGCAGAGGCTCTGAGTCAGGGGAACCATTTTCCAGTCATCAGATCCATTTGTGAAAGGAAAATAAATCTTAGAGCCCCAAAATCACTAAGCCAAAGGGAGAAGTCAAGCTGGAAACTGCTTAGGGCAAACCTGCCTCCCATTCTATTCAAAGTCATCCCTCTGCTCACTGAGGTAAATGCATATCTGATTGGAGAGGCTAATCAAAAACTCAAAAGAGGCCAAGCTCCATGGCTCACACCTGTAATCCTAACACTTTGGGAGACCTAGGTGGGATAGGAAGTGGATCCCCCCACTGACAGTGCTGGGTACATCAGATGACTTGAGGTCAGGAGTTCGAGACCAGCCTGGCCAAGGTGGTGAAACCCTGTCTCTACTGAAAATACAAAAATTAGCTGGGCATGGTAGCAGGCGCCTCTAGTCCCAGCTACTTGGGAGGCTGAGGCAGGAGAATCACTTGAACCCGGGAGGCAAAAGTTGCAGTGCTGAGATGGCGCCACTGCACCCCAGTGTGGGTGACAGAGTGAGACCCTGACTCAATTAAAGCAAACAAACAAAAAAACTCAAAAGAATGCAACTTTTTGTCCCTTATCTATCTATGGCCTGGAAGCCCCCTCCCCACTTTGAGTTGCCCCGCCTCTGCTTCCAATGGTCCGGCCTTTCCGGACTGAATCAATGTTCATCTTACATATATTGATTGATGTCTCATGTCTCCCTAAAGTGTGTGTGCAAAACCAAGCTGTGCTCGGACCACCTTGGACACACGTCGTCAGGACCTCCTGAGGCTGTGTCACTGGCATGTGTCTTTAACTTTGGCAAAATAAACTTCCTAAACTGACTGAGACCTGTCTCAGATAATCCGGGTTCACACATTCATTTGATATTAAAAGCCTACGTTTCTCCTGTTCATGAGAAAGAAAACTTGGTTTCTTCACCGATTCCTGATCCTTCACCTTGTGAAGATGGGATAGGAAGTGGATCCCCCTGCTGACAGTGCTGGGTACATCAGATCAAACACCATCCAGTTGTGCCAGGACAAAGGTCATCCAGCTCAAAGATGATTCTCTCAACCCTTATTCCATCATGCTAGTATTGCCAAGCTGTTTGTAACAAAGGTGAGAAAACAGCCCAGGAAGGAAGAAGCCCACGCACTGCAGTAGGGCTATCGGGGAAGTTTCAGAGTTCACCTCGGGTGGAGGTTTTGGCATCTAAACTGCAACAACTGGGCATGACAATCCTATCAGGCATCATACTCAACTCCGCCTGGATCCCCGAACCGGGCCCCACATACCTGTACACAAATCATCTGCTCCTGCCTCCCTTTCACATTTGGCAACCAGTATGTCCCACATGCTGTTCCAGGAGCAAGACATGCAATGATGCACATGACTGACAACACCCTTCTTTTGTGGCATTTATCCCCATTTGGGGGAAACAGCCAAAACCTGGTAAATGAGTGAACAAGATAATTTCACAGTGTAATGAGGGGTATAAGGAAAATCAACAGAGCAATGTGGTAGTCACCATTAGGGACAGAGGGGTGTCTTACTCAGATGTGATGGGGGCTTTGGAAGGCCAGGGAAGGCCTTCTGAGGAGCTGCCATTTGACCTGATAGTTGAGTATAAAAAGGGTTAGCCATCGGAAGGGTATACCAGATGGAAGGAGCAGTGAGGCCCTGCTGTGGGCAAGCGCTCCGTGCGTCTGACAAATAGATGTGAGTGCGTTTGAATCAAAGCCTTGGGGAGGTGGATGGAAGTGAGATCACACAGGCCTTGGCGTTCAGAGTAGGGAGTTCGGGTTTTATTCCAGGGGCAGTACGAAGCCATTGGAGTTCTTATGCCAGTTTCTATGACCTGATTTACCTTGTTTGTGCAGCACTCTGATTGCTGTGTGAAGAATGGTTTGGAAAGGTGTTAGTGGCTTGGACTGGACTATGGCTCTGGAGGTAGGGAGTGGGGGAGCAGGGGTGAGGAGATTATTCAGGATATATATCAGAGCCATTTGATGAACTGGATATGGTTGAAGAAAGGAGGAATTGAAGGTGACTCCTAAATTTTCCCTCAAGCAAGTAGGTAGTTTGTGGTGCTATTCTGTGAGATGGAAAGGAGAGGAAGACTTGTAGGTTGAGGGCGTGCTAATAAAAAAAGAATAGAGTATTATTTGGGGTATATTAAACCCCATCCAAGTAGAGATGTCGAATAGACAACTGTATATAAAACAAGTCTTAGAGGAAAGGTGAGGGCTAGATAGAGATAGTGGAGCTATCAACCAAAAGAAAGAAGTCATGTTACTGGATGAACTTGGCTAGGAACTTAACCTTGGCTAGGTCCAGAATTCCACCCCCTTTCCATGCAGAGACAGCAGGCTTTCTGACCTGCCCCATCTCTCCTCCCCCTGTCCCCAGGAGATTCCTGGTGCTGTACTGAAGGAAGAATGCCTGCCCTCCTTGCTCACAGGGAGGTTTGATTTGAGTGGCAGGTGCATTCCTGGGAGTGACAAGGTCAGCTTCTACTATCGCTACAGAAAGTTCACCACTTCCAACTCTAAGGCTGATTTCTCTCTCAGCTCATGGCTAGAAACTCACAGATCAGCCAACTAGGAAGTGGCATTTCTGCTTCCTCTTCACATGCCACAGGCACACAATATTGGAACTGTGATGTCTAGTGGAATGGTGAACTCCCAAGTCCAGGAGTGTCCTGATGGTCTAACACTAATGATGAAGGTGATGGTGATGCTGCTAATCACTAACACAGACCATTTACCATGTGCTAGACTTGCAATAAAAATTTTACCCAGATTGTCCCATTTAATGCTCAGACTAATCCTATAAAGTTATACTGTTCTTCTACTGTTTCCCCCATTTTACAAAGAAGGAAATTTATAGAAAAGATTGGTCTCTTCCTGGTTATCTAATCTCCTTCTAACTCCTTGAGATGGACATAAGCTGTCCAAGAGGAAAAGGGAAAAATTTTAAATATATGTTTTGCATTGTAAAGTAAATGTGTCACGTGTTTTGGAAAAAATGGAAAGAAAAAGAAATCACCGGTTATCATTTGAACATGCTTCCTTCCAATCTTTTTCTTTCTCCTTTCATCTTTTTTTCATAACTGTAATCAAGGTATAACCTAAATTAATATATATATATAAGGTATAATATAAATTCTCTATTGAATTTTTTTTTTTTTTGAGACAGATTATCACTCTGTCACCCAGGCTGGAGTGCAGTGGCATGATCACAGCTTACTGCAAACCCTGCCTCCTGGGCTTAAGTGATCCTCCCACCCCAGCCTCTGGAGTAGCTGAGACCTCAGGTGTGCACCACCATGCCTAGCTAATTTTTTTATTTTTTGGTAGAGATGGGGTTTTGCCATGTTGCCCAAGCTGTCCATTGAATAATATTTTTAAAGATCTTTTTTCAAGCACTTTCTATTCTTAAATGTGATTTCCACAGTTTTGAGTCAAGGTGTATTTGTCCATTCTCTCATTCCTATAAAGAAATACCTGAGACTCGGTACTTTATAAGAAAAGAGGTTTAATTGGCTCACGATTCTGCAAGCTGTACAGGAAGCACAGTGGCTTCTCCTTCTGGGGAGGCCTCAAGAAACTTACGATCATGGTGGAAGGCAAAGGGGGAGCAGGCATATCTTTACATGGCAGGGGCAGGAGTGGGGGCGGGGAGGCGCCACACACTTTAAAACAAACAGATCTAGATAGAACTCACTCACTATCATGAGAATAGCACCAAGGGGGCAATCTGCCCCCATGATACAATCGCTTCCACCAGACCCCACCCCCAGCATCGGCGATTACAATTCCATGTGAGATATGGGCAGGGACACAGATCCAAACCATATCACAAGGCAATAGGTATTGCTTGGACATCCAGGACAGTCTGTGCCAGACTTCCATGGCAGGAGCTCTGTCTCATCCCAGCCTGGCCTAGCGCTCCTCCCACAGAGCCAGGAGACTGAGTGTGGACGTGAAACCTCAGGACAGGTCACGGGGTCCATCTGAATGCACTATATTCAGGGCAGGTGTCCCAGAGGGAACAAGAGGGGCCTTGTGGCTGCCTCACTTCCAAACAGAAAGTGACCCAGGCTCCAAGCCTGGTAAGCCCCAGGGCATGAGCCCCAGGGCAGACATCCATGGGGCTTGGGATCCTTTTGTTCTGGATGCCAGAGGAACATGGCTATGTAGCAGATCTCTCCACAATTTTTTTTTTCCTTTTTCTGCAGTTTCCTAAAAAGTGGCCCCCTTACTCATTCGTCAGAAGCTTCTGAGTCTTCTTCTTGCAGTACCAAGACATTCCCCACTGGGCATAGTCCCTGTGAGGCTGTGGCTTCCAGGTCAGGCTCCCAAGTCTGCCACTTACTCACTCTGGGCCTGGGCACTACTTAACCTCTCTGACCTGCTTCCTTATCTGAAAATGAGGCTAATAATCATTCATACCTCACAGAGTGGCTAGGAGGGTTAAACGGGCATTTTCCTGGGTACCGAGCATGTAGTGGGGGTTCAACAAATGGTGGCTGTTGTTCTAGAAACTTTCTCCATATAGACAGCTCATGAAGGAAGCCATGGAGCGTTGTCTGTGCAGTGGGTAGCTGGGCGTGGAAACAGCACATCCTTCATCTGGAATGTGCAGACCCCTGCATCCTCTCAGCACTATTCAGGCACCAGGCGGAGAGGGAGACTGCCTGAAGACCCTCCTGCTCCCCCCGCCGCTCTCCCCTCTTCCCTGTCCTATTTCCCAAGGACACAGGAAGAACTTTACCAGGGGTAAGACCAAATTATGTAAACGCTCAGACCGGAGCAACAGGAGGACAGCCATGGTGCTGACAAGGGGTCCTGGGAGCCTCCTGCTCCAGGTGTCACCCTCCTATTTCTTCATCTGACAGTGGAGACAATTTGTGTGTCTACCTTGTCACCTAGTGGTGTTGTTCAAATGAGATTATATCCCTCAGCATGGTGATGGCATGTTATTATTAGAAATAACTTCGTGGGCCAGGCGTTGTGGCTCATTCCAGTAATCCCAGCACTTTGGGAGGCTGAGGTGGGTGGATCACCTGAGGTCAGGAGTTTGAGACCAGCCTGGCCAACATGGCGAAACCCCATCTCTACTGAAAATACAAAAATTAGCCGAGCCTGATGGCGCATGCCTGTAGTCTCAGCTACTCCAGGGACTGAGGCAGGAGAATCGCTGGAACCTGGGAGGCGGAGGTTGCAGTGAGCCGAGATCATGCCACTGCACTCCAGCCTGGGCAATGGAGCGAGACTCCATCTCAAAAAAAAAGAAAGAAAGAAAGAAGGAAAGAGCTTCGTGGAATCCATCCCGCAGCCTAAACACTGTTTTGCGCTCAAGAATCTCAGCTGTTTCTTAGGACAGAAATCCAACCTAATCCAAACATCATAGCTAATGTTTATTGAGTCTACATGCAGGCGCCAGCCCTATTCCTCATGCCTTCCATGAATCTCTTTATTTAACCCTCACATCAACCCAGTCATGGAGGTCCTACTGTTTTGTGCTTCACAAACTAAGAAGCCAAGGCAGAGAGGTTTAATGACTTGCCTCAAGTCATCAAAAGCTAAGAAGTAGCAAAAACAGGCTCCAAAAACCCCAAACACTGACAACATCAAGCGCGCTGGAGGACATGGAGCAACCGTGGCTTTTATTTATTGCTGGTGGGAAACCAAAATGGTGCAGCTACTTTGGAAGACAGCCTGGCAGTTTCTTACAAAACTAAACCTACTCTTACCCTATGATCCAGCAATCACGCTTCTTGTTATTCATCCAGATGAATTGCAAATTTATGTCCGCACAAAAACCTGCACAGATGTTCATAGCAGCTTTATTCATAATTGCCAAAACTTAGAAGCAACCAAGATATCCTTCAGTGGGTGAATGAACAAATCACTGTGGTATATTCGGACAATGGAATCTCATTTAGTTCTAGAAAGAAATGAGTTATCAAGCCATGAAAACACATAAAGATAACTTATATGCATTTTACTAAGTGAAAGAAGCTGATCCGAAAAGGCTACATACTGTATGATTCCAATTGTATGATATTGTGGAAAAGGCAAAACTATGGAGACAGTAAAAAGATCAGTGGTTTCCGGGGGGAGGGATGGATGAATAGGCAGAGCACAGAGGATTTTTAGGGCAGTGAAAATACTCCGTATGATACCACAACGAGGGAAACATATTATACATTTGTCAAAAGCCATAGAATCTACAACACCAAGAGTGAACCCTAATGTAAACTATGGACTTTGAGTGATAACGACATGTCAATATGGGTTCATCAGCTGTAAGAAATATTATCTGGAGGGGAATAGCAGGGGAGGAGACAAGGGGTATATAGGAACTCTCTGCACTTTCTGCTCAATTTGCTGTGAACCTAAAACTACTCTAAAAGAATTAAGTTTGAGGCCGGGTGTGGTGGCTCATACCTGTAATCCCAGCAGTTTTAGGAGTCCAAGGTGAGACGGTTCTTGAGGCCAGGAGTTCAAGACTAGGCTGGACAATGTAGTGAGACCCTCACCTCTACAAAAGAAAAAAAATAGAATTATGTTTGTTAATTTAAAACAAACAAAAGAGAACAGGCTTCAAACCCAGGAAGTCTGGCTCTGAAGCATACCCATTAACCACTATGCTATACTACCCTCAACTTGCAATGGAAGGAAAAATCCAACTTTTTTTTAGAAGTTATACACACACACACACACACACACACACACACACACACGTAAAGGAAACTGCTGGGTTTTAGAATACAGTGACAGAGGCCGAGCACGATGGCTCACACCTGTAATCCCAGCACTTTGGGAGGCCAAGGTGGGTGAATCACAAGGTCAAGAGATCAAGACCATCCTGGCCTACATGGTGAAACCCTGTCTCTACTAAAAATACAAAAATTAGCGGGGCATGATGGTGCATACCTGTAATCCCAGCTACTCGGGAGGCTGAGGCAGGAGGGTAGTGGAGGTTGCAGTGATCCGAGATCGAGCCACTGCACTCCAGCTTGGGCAACAAGAGCGAAACTCCGTCTTAAAAAAAAGAATACAGTGACAGAACAGGTCGCCAGCCCTCCCTGATCCATTCCATCCAGGCAAGGCTTGGAGGCTGATTAGGCCGACTCTGGCCTCACGCGCAGTGTTTGATAACAAGCACCTGACGCGTGGCGTGATGCCAGCCTCCCCAGGGCGCTTTGGTCTGGAAACAGCTGTGAGTAATCTGGAGCACCCAGAGCAGAAAGCTTTATCAGTCAGCCTGCCCCAAAAGCTGCTGCGAAAACTATCTGCTGGTGCAGTCATGCCTCCAACTGCCCTATTTTTAGTGAAACGCACTTTCCAGGGCTGTGCTTCTGATGAAGGAGCAAGCCGACTTGGTCTTAAGACATACATAGTCAGTGACAACCAAGCCACTTCCACTCGTCTGCCTGATTTAGGGTTTTCTGCAGGTTTATGAACCACCTTTCAAGGCATGTAACTAGGTTTATTGAATGCTAGTTGATTCCCCGCTTGGTGGGAACCCAGTGGAATAATACTTTATGCCCTGGAAAAGGGGACATGAGACATGGTGAGGTACTGCTCAAACAATAGCATCTTGCCAACATTTCAAAGAACGCCATTCAAGGTCAATAAAAAGCTGTCTTTGCTTTGTAAGGAAGTAAATATCTACATTACAGACCATAGGACTACTTTATGTGTTACGTGTTATATATTATGGTAGGAGGAAGAGTTGAAGGAGGGGACAGTGAACCAGGAGGGTATACAGTCGGCCCAGCCAGCTTTAGGTCTTCCTGACAGCAAACCAGGGGGCCAGACAGGACCCAGGAAGTGAGGAATCAGTACCAGAGCTTGCTCAGGCTTAACTCACTTGAGCATTTATCAGTACACCCTGGAATAGTCACAGCCCAATACCTGATTATAACATGAATAAGAAAAGGATAATCATACAAACCAGTTTTCAAGCACCTTCCATGTGCAAAATATTTAAACACATTATCATTTTTTAACCTCAGGAAAACCTTATGCAGTGGGTGTTCTTATTCCAGTTTTGCAGAATTGAGGCTCAGAGAAGGTAAACAATTTTTCCTTGTCAGTGGCAGAGCTGATAGTACGACTCAAATTTTTCTGACTACAAAGCCCATGCTTCCTCCTTCCATTTGTCATGCTGGCCCCTCTGAGCATCTTGGCCATTACACAAAAGGGTGGCTGGGCCAAGGTCTTTGCCTGGCCAGACACCGTGGCTCAAGTCTGTAATCCCAGCACTTTGGAAGGCTGAGGCAGGTGGATCACTTGAGCCCAGGAGTTCAAAACCTGCCATGGGCAACATGGCAAAACCCTGTCTCTACAAAGAATACAAAAATTGCCTGGACATGGTGGTGCATGCCTGTAGTCCCAGCTACTCAGGAGGCTGAGGCAGGAGGGTTGCTTGAGCCTGGAAAGCTAAGACTGCAGTATGCTGAGATCACACCACTGCACTCCAGCCTGGGCGATAGAGTGAAACCCTGTCTAAAAAAACAAAAAGAAAGGTCTTTGCCAATTTTAGTTTTGTGGCCCAGCATTTAACTAAAATTAAAACAATGTTTTTCTCAAGCATGATCCCACCTCACTTGCCCCACCGTTAACCTACATTTGCAGCAGAGCGATACACATGTTCAGTGACATCAGAGTCACCCAGTGGGAAGTCCGTGCTGCCAAGCCTGTTATGATCCTTTGGGGTGATCTGGTCTGACTCTCTTGTTTCCAGATGATGGGAGGAGATCATGAGAAGTTAAACTACTTGCTCAAGGTTACGCAGCAATTTAAAAAATTCAAATGCAGATCTTCAGAGCGCAAGTCCAGGACCCTCCCCGCAATACCACTCCCAGTCCCATCAGTAGGACTCCAACAGGGCAGGATTCAGCAAAGCTCCACACTGAACCCTACTGTCTGAAAGTCACCTGAGACAGACCATATTGAACCAATGCCACTTCTCCCTCCACATGCAAATAGGAAAAACTCTCCAACAAAAGAAAAGCACAGCTCACCCTGAGCCCCTTGGGGAGTCCAGGTTGGTTTGTGGCGTTTCAGAGCCAGATGTCCACAGATCTCCAGTCAACTCACAGAATCCACTCACATAATTATGTAAGTGCTCTTATATCATCTGGGCACATAAATACACTTTCAGAGGAAACAGTCTCAGATAGCTAGCTCAAAGAGAAACGTCCAGCTGGTGGTCTGTCCTGAACTCCTCCAGGGTCCCTGCTTCTCAGACATGATGCCTGCTGGACATGAGTTGGATCAAAGAAATCCTAAAAGGAGAGAAAAAGATGAGTAAGCTCACGGTGTCAGTCCCCTGCCCAGTTTCAAATCATCTCATTCGAGTCAGCCCCGCTGTGTGGGGGCGATGAGAGGTGACAACCAAGGAGAGACAACGTCAAGGCCTTATGTTATGCCAAGGTCCCCTTACCTCCCCATGCCCGTGACAATCAGAAAGCATGACAGAGCCACCAAGATCAGCTTCTCTGCTCTTGTTCAGCAGCCTCTCTCTACTCCTCAGGCTTCTTGGTAGCTCATTGGTTCCCAAAGTTGTGAGGTTGCTCGATTCCAGGAGGTTCTAAGTTGGCAGGAGTTTTATGGATATGGCTGGAGCTGACCAAAGATTTGGGCAAATATTGACATTCTTTGAAGATGTGAGATGACACCAGACAAGGACTATGTTGGCAACAGAGAAAGTTGGGAGGGGTGGCAGGAGGAAACTGACATGTATTCCATTTCAGCTGTATTTCAGGTACTGTCATTTAATCCTTACCATGATTTTATTTTATTTTTTAAGACAGAGTCTTGCTCTGTTGCCCAAGCTGCTGTGCAACGGCATAATCTTGGCTCACTGCAACCTCCACCCGCCGGGTTCAAGCGATTTTCCTGCCTCAGCCTCCCAAGTAGCTAGGGATTACAGGCGTGCACCACCATGCCCTGCTAATTTTTTGTATTTTTAGTAGAGACGGGGGTTTCACCATGCTGGGCAGGCTGGTTTTGAACTCCTGACCTCAAGTGATCCACCCACCTCGGTCTCCTAAAGTGCTAGGATTACAGGCATGAGCCACTGCGCCCGGCCCCTTACCATGATTATTATTATTATCATCTCCATTTACTTATCTCTGTTTAACTTAGTTATCATTACTATCTCCATTTGACAAATGTAGAAAGACTTTCAAAGAGGTTAAGCAATGTCTCCAAGGCCATACAGTTGGGAAATGGTAGAAATGAAATTCTATCCCAAATCCAACTGACTGCCAACCCACACACATCATACATTCCAGTGCCAGGCACTGTGGGTTTCCTTCCTCACCTCTCTTTTCTTGCATGCTGGAAGAACCCTGGTTGTACTGAGGCAGCAATATGCACAGCCCCAGGTGGCCCCAGATGGCATCTACCATCCTCTGAAACCACCTCTAGCTACTGGCCCTGTTGCTTGAACTGCAGCTCAGAATCTGTTTCCACACAGAAACCATCTTACACACAGCAGTCAGTAAGACTGCAGTCACCCTACCATCACCATACTGTTGTTCTATGAATTAAACCAACTTTTATAGACTGATGTAAAATACCATAATTTATAGCATTATTTCTACTGGAAAATGCATTGCAAGATCCACCAGCCCCCACCTCCAACTCCATCAAAAAACAAACAAAAACAAAACAAAAAGCCTTATAGGAGACTTCATGCATCTTTTATAAGGCTTATAGTTGACTCAGATTTCATGAGTCCCAACCCAAAGCTGCCTGCACATTATCAGCTCTTTACTTGTCAAGCAGATCTGGAAATATCAAAGCTGCCAAATGAAATTCTTGGAAGTATGGTTGTATTTGATCCCACCCCACTTTATTAAATTGAAAGAAAACCTTCCCTGAGACTGAAGACAAAATTTATTCCAGTCAGGAAGATAAAATACTAGTTGTTGTATTTATTTTATGATGACGGGGATGCACTTCCCTGGAAGACAGCTGGCTGGCATTATGGCCCAGGGGTTCTCAACCTCAGCACTACTGACATTTTGGTCCAGATAAGCTTTGTTGCCGGCAGCTGTCCTATGTAATGCAGGATGTTTACCAGCATCCTAGGCCCTACTCACTAGATGCCAGAAGCACCCTCTCAGTGTGACAACCAAAAATGTCTTCAGACATTGCCAACTGTCCCCTGGCAGAGGCTGATACATTTGGAGGACGTACTTAGAAGCCTGCATTAAGCCCAACGGAATCATGGAAACTCTCTGATGAAGAAATGCTGATCTGTGGGGTTTTGTTGCTTTTGCTTTTTGTTTTTGTCCAAAGGCCACTCTGAGACTGATGTGCGTTCTGATGGCAAATCCTACCTTTACCTTTGTGAAGTAGGGAGCAGATGATCACCAAAATGGACCAAAGCATCCTCTGGCTGTAATCCTGGGCCAGGCCTCTCTCCAGGCCATCAGGAAGCCCAGCTTCAGAGAGCACATCCCCTCATTGCCGGTTCCTGGGGACTATAAAGCAGAACTCTACCAAGGCCCATTCTCCTGACCTTGGTTCCTTTCGCACACTTACAGGCTATAAAATGCCGCCCCTGGCTGGGTGCAGTAGCTCATGCCTATAATCCCAGCACTTTGGGAGGCTGAGGCGGGTGGATCACTTGAGGTCAGGAGTTCGAGGCCAGCCTGGCCAACATGGCAAAACCCCTTCTCCACTAAAAATACAAAAAAATTAGCCGGGCGTGGTGGAGCAGACCTGTAATCCCAGCTACTCAGGAGGCTGAGGCACAAGAATGGTTTGAACCCAAGAGGCAGAAGTTGCAGTGAGCCAAGATTATGCCATTACACTCCAGCCTAGGGATAGAGTGAGACTTTGTCTCAAAAAAAAAAAAAAAAAAAAAAAAAGGCCACCCTTCCCACCCTTCCCTCCCACTTGGGCTCAACTTTGCCCCAGCTCCTCACCCTGTGAGTTGATGATGGAATTCCTTCAGGATTCAAGTTTCATTTCACGGCGATTATTGAAGCTCACTTTTCTCAGAATAATTGTCTTAGCACAGCAGTTGCTGTTGAACAGTTTCCAGTAGTTCAGCATTGAAAGAGAATCTAATTAACTTACAGAATATCTTGGGGCACTTGTCTGGAATCCTGCTCCGACTGCGTCCATAGAGCAGGCTCAGCACATTTTCATAGTGGTAGGCTAAAGTCTCAGGGGAAGTCTTTAGCTTCCTCCCTCGCATTGTTTTCTGTAAAGTCAAAGATTGGAGCTTATCTTATAGTTAACAACCAAATGTGAATTCGTTTCTGGGTTCTTCCAACCCTGTATATATCTTATTAACTCTTCTGATAAATTTTACAAGTTCTTCTCAGAACCACTCTCCTTTATCTCAATGATAATCAAGAGTAGAAAAATGTTATTTATTCATAAATATATATTGTCAAGTCACTGGATGCCAGCGATTTGAGTTTACATTAGTAAGCTAAGAGTAATGCATCTTTTGTTCATTCATTCATTCATTCAGATGCTCTGGGAGGGCAGGAAATTGTGTCCATTGTGCACCCCTTATTTATTGAATAGATGAATGCCCATATTGTTTGAAGTGCTGTTGTTAGTGCTAAAAATGCAACAGTGAACAGGATTGGCACAATCCCTGGCCTCAGGGAGTTTACAGTCCAGCAGG
Source organism: Homo sapiens (assembly GCF_000001405.40). Classification (NCBI taxonomy): domain Eukaryota; kingdom Metazoa; phylum Chordata; class Mammalia; order Primates; family Hominidae; genus Homo; species Homo sapiens. Next base: position 69,618,730 of record NC_000012.12, on the reverse strand, counting down.
GAAGCAAGAGAACTAAGAAATAAAACCATCACAAATTGTGATAAGTGCTAACATGGAGAGAAACTGGGAGTAGAGGCAGCCTAGCTTAAATAGCATGGTCAGGAAGACCCTCCTTGACAGCTGTGGGATGATGGGAGTGAACTACAGGCTAGTTGTGGTGAGTATCTGTGATTTTTTTTTTGACTGACAGCTCTCCACGTTTGGGGAGCTTCTCACCTTATAAATCTTGGTGGTGGAAAATGACAACTCCGCATTATAGAAGCCGAAAGCTGAACCCCAGCCTCCCTTGTGGCTCAGCTGCGGCATGTGATCAATGAGTCTTCCCCGTTGGCCCCGATTCAACTCTTAGTGATACAAAAAAGCAGGACTTAGGCAAAATCCCTTCTGAAGAGGGAGGTAGCCATGGTGGGGGCTACACCAGGTTCGGAGGCAGCAGCCAGCACCAGTGGGCTCGGAAGTACAAGCAGTGGGGGGCTGGGCCCAGAGGCAGTGACAATGATACCATCACAAGACCAGTTCTGCACTGCAATTTAGGACTTTGGTCCCAGCTATAGCATCCAAGCCCAGTTCCACAGCACAGGCAAGGAGGTCTGTGAGCTTCCTAACATAATAAATTCCTTTTCATCCAAATCATTCAAAGACAGTTTCTATTGCGCTGAAATTAAGAACTGTAACACTAGAACTGCACCTTGAAGTATTTGAAGACCCAACATTAATTAGCTTGAAGCCAAGGTTTGGGCAAACACCTCCATGGAGCAGTTGAATTCAAATCCAACAGGTGCAAATGGTCAGACCCAAGCTTGGTGGGACAAGGTTGCTTCTGGACTGCTCTTCTGGAAGGCCCAGGATTCTGCCTGTGGGGCTCTTCTCTGTGTCCAGCATCAGCGTCACCATGATTTTAAACCAAGGAGAAGCCAGCTGCACCTCAAAGCTGACTAACTGGAAAACAGAACAGTTCACTTTATGGTTTTTACTTTCAACACTTTTTCTTCTATCTTTTGCAATACGGTTTGTAAAAATTCAAGCCCTATTTTTCCTCTGTTCTCCCAACACCACCACAACAATCATCAACAAAGAAGACTTCTGTGACCCCAAAATATGTGTGGAGATTTCTCCCCACCAGCCAGCAAGGGAGCAGCGTTGCAGTGGAAATCAGCTGGGTGTCCTCCAATTCCATTCCAACTCTGCCTTCCTGGTGAGAGTATCAGATCCCACAGGTTGAGGGCTCAGTCCCCAAAAGCGCCACCCCGCCTTCAGACACGAGTCACAAGTTCCAGCCTCCAGAACTTCTGATTGATCAGCTTCAAGTTAAGGTTCCCACAACCGCCCTCTAGGTTCAATTAATTTGCTGGAGCAGCTCACCGAACTCAGGGAAACACTTGCAGTTACCGGTTTATTATAAAGGATATCACAAAGGGTAGAGATGAAGAGATGCATAGGGCACAGCATGGGGGAAGGGGTGTGGAGCTTCCACGTCCTCCCTGGGCACAGCCCTTCAGGAACCTCCACGCGCTTAGCTAGCTGGAAGCTCCCTGGACCCTCTCCTCTTGGGCCTTTTATGGAGACTTCACTGATTGACAATCTTCATGATTGACAATCTTCATGATTGACAATCTTCATGATTGACAATCATTTAGAAATGAGATTTGACAAAAAGGATATGATCTAAACCCAGCAAGGCCCATCTGTTCAGATTCTTCTTGGACTCTGTGCAGCCTTCTTTCCTCCAGGGAATGAAGCAAAACCCTTTCTGGAATGAGGGTCTTATGACCCACAAGCAGATTCGAGTCCTGAGCTTCTGTTTCCTTAGACCTGCTCTTGGCACCTAAAGTGCCTCAACATTACAACAAAGGACTGTGACAGGGGCTATGGGAGTTATGAGCCAGGAACCATGGGCGAAAACTTATATATATAGTTACGATATCACTAATATGCATTGTTTTTTCTTTGGGATGTAGGTGTGTACGCACGAGTGTGTTTTCCTTTTGGTATAGGCTGTTTTCAGTTTTTCTGAGGGTCACCTTGATCATTTTATTCCCGACGATGCGGGTTTCATATGGGGGCTGAACCCAGTAGGGAATAATCCACCATCAGCCTTGTCCCTCCTCCTCCTTCCTCACACACATTCTATGAAACCCCTACCCACACCCCGACCCCTGGATCACATCTTGGGTAGGTTGTACAGCTTTCTCGACACTTTCGGGTATTAAAATTTTCAGTCAAATGTATGTCAAAACTTTAAAGTCTCATCCAAACTTTTAGCATCTCATTCAATTTAAAACTTCCTTCCTTCTCCCAGGTGAGGCCTGGCCTGTGGCTTAGGGATCAACAACGAGAAAGAGCTGGGGTTGGGGAGAGGGTCTCCGGGCTGAGTAGCGGGGGTGAAGGGGAGGGGGATACAGAGCCTGCTGTTTTCCTTCTTTGCTCCACGTCTTCTCCCCTGGCCCCTGCTCCTAGACCCTCCAGGCTTGGGCACAGAAGGAGGACGAGACTGTTTCGCTCAGTGGTTCTGTTTTCAGTTCCCCTTAGGCAGATACATGCCTTCTGTTGCAACAGATGCACAAATACTGGCCCTTTCCTGGAGGTGCTCCCGTGGGTCCTTCGGAGACACCTTCCAACCGGGGCGCTCCACACTGCACTCCTCGGGACAGCGATGCACTCTTGGCCAGGCTCCTGTGGCTCTCCCTGCTCCGCCTTCACCGCCAGCATAGCCAGCTGTCACCTGAAATCTTCTTGTTTCCTTTGCTGGGGCTGTTGGTTCCTGGATTCTGTGTCTTCCATTTTGATAAAGCACTTCCTTAAGTAGCTTTCTGAGAATTTGTGCATGAGAGGGAAACTTTTTGACATCTTTTCTGCTTGAAAAGAAAATCATTCTAAATCCTACTTTTACTGGGTGTGAGATTCTATACTGGAGATTATTTTACCTTAGAATTTTGAAGGCATTGCTCTGTTATCTTCTAGTTTCCAATAGTGGTACTGAAATGCCCAATGATGTTCTCGTTTCTAGCTGTGTGTGTGTGTACTCTGTTGTCTTCTATCTAGAAACCTTTGGGCTCTTCTTTCCAGAGTGCTGAAATTTTACAGTGGTGTTGGTCTTTTTCATTTATTGTGCTACAAAGTTGACAAGTTCATCAGAGAACTCATATATGTCAGCCCTAGAAAACTCTTTCATGTACTTCTTTCATCGTTGTCTCTCCCTTTTTTTTCTTTTGTGCGTGTGCGTGTGTGTGTGTGTGTGATGAAGTCTTGCTCTTGTCACCCAGGCTGGAGTGCAGTGGCATGATCTTGGCTCACTGCAACCTCTGTCTCCTGGGTTCAAGCAACCTCTGTCTCCTGGGTTCAAGCGACTCTCCTGCCTCAGCCTCCCAGCTAGCAGGGACTACAGGTGCCTGCCACCACGCCCGGCTAATTTTTGTATTTTTAGTAGAGAGAGGGTTTCACCACGTTGGCCAGGCTGGTTTCGAACTCCTGACCTCAAGTGATCCCCCACCTCGGTCTCCCAAAGAGTGGGATTACAGGCGTGAGCCCCCATGCCCAGCCTGTCTCTCTTTTTAAATTTAATTTTATTTTTAAGACAGGGTCTCACTCTGTCACTCAGTCTGGAGCACAATGTCACAATCATGGCTGACTGGTCAACCTCCTAGGCTCAAGCAGTCCTCCCACCTCAGCCTCCCAAGTAGCTGGGACTACCGGTGAGCACGCCACTACACCTAGTTAATTTTTTAATTTTTTGTAGAGCCAGGGTTTCCCTGTGTTGCCCAGGCTGGTCTTAAACTTCTCTCACCTTAGCATCCCAAATTGCTGGGATTATTGGCATGAGCCACCACACCCAGCCTTTTCTTCAACTTTTGATGAGATGTTCTCAAGCCTTCTATTATATTTTTTAATTTTATTTTTTAAATTGTGGTAAAATATGCAAAAATTTCCCATCTTAACCGGGTGTGGTGGCTCACACCTGTAATCCCAGCACTTTGGGAGGCAGAGGCAGGTGGATCACCTGAGGTCAGGAGTTCAAGACCAGCCTGGCCAAAATGGTGTGCACTCCATCTCTACGAAAAATACAAAAAAAAAAAAAAAAGCTGGGCATAGTGGCACACCCCTGTAGTCCCAGCTATTCAGGAGGCTGAGGCAGGAGAATCACTTGAACATGGGAGGCGGAGGTTGCAGTGAGCCGAAATCGTGTCATTGCACTCCAGCCTAGGCAACAAGAGTGAAACTCTGTCTCAAAAAAAAAAAAAAAAAGATCCTGTTTTTATTTTTATTTTCTTTGGATATATACCCAGAAGTGGAATTGTTGGATCATTTGGTAATTCTATTTTTAATTTTTTGAGGAAACACCTTCTGTTTTTCTTCTATTTTATTTTTAATTGTGCTTTTTTCATATCTTTATTTCCAAGAGCCCTTTCTTATTCTTAGAATATTTCTTTCTTTCTAATAGCATCCTACTCTTTTTATGGATGTTATGTCATCCAAGAAAGGCACAGTATTTGGAACACAGACTGTAGAGCAAGATGATCTGGGTTCAGATCCCTGCTCGGCTGCGCGCTAGCTTGTTCAGGTTGCATAAACTCCTTGTTCCCCAATTTCTTTCTTTATCAAGTGGAAACAATAACAGTACATACATTTTAGGATTGCTGTAAGGATTAAATGACCTAATAATACCACACCCAGCACGCAAGTGCTATCATTAACTCTCTGAAAATATTATGTTATAGTTTATTATTTTCTTCTATTCACTTCATTTTTTTGTCTTGATTTTAAACATTCTTATTTCAATCTCTGATTTTCACGTAGGAGATCTTCTTCAAGTGTTTTGTTATCTAAAGTGCTGCATGGAAATTCCGTTTGGCAGGGCAAAGTTTGTCACCTTGTATGGTTCAACAGGAGCCTACCCTGATAGAATTGTACACTGTGTGAGATCAGGGTTTTATCTATCTTGTTACTCATTTGATTACCTGCATCTAAAGCATAGTAGGTGTTCAGTCAATATTTGATAATATCATTAAACCTCTCTGAACCACACACAGTTTTCTCATCTGAAAAGTAAGGTAAAACATATTTATCTGGCTGGTGTTGCAAGAATAGATTATATATAAGGCACCTGGTAGCAACATTATTATCATTATCATTTCTAGGGATGACACTAGGGCAGCTGCTTCATAACCATTTGTGGTCACCACTGACCATGCTAAATATAGCAGTAAAGCAGAGTTGACAGGCCAGTTATTTTAATACAAATAAGCAAAGCAAGAAGAGGGCTCAAGATAATAGCCCTTGACATTCAATGTGTAGAAAGTCCAGGAAGAACACTGGCTTCAGTCATGACCTGTGAGCAGAAAGTGGGTAGCTCTGCTGCATCACCAAACAGCTCTGTAGAATCGCCATTCACGAGGTGCTTCTCAACAGTGTGGTCCGTTACAAGCAATTCAGCAGCAAAGTCATTGGACGCGGAGCAAGGGTGTGCCAGGCTCCCTCACCCACCCTGAAACTCTATCCAGAGAGCAGGTAGGCTGATGGATTGGTTGTTTTTGGACTAGAGTTTTTAAATTTAAAATGATAAGTGCCTCTAGTTTTTTAAAAAAATCAAGAGTACAAAAGGATGTAAATGGAAAAGTCAGCATCCCTATCACCCACAAACCCTCAGGTAGATTTTCCAGAGTTAATCACCATTATTTCTTACAGATATTTTTATGCACACACAAAGATATATTTTTTCACAGATGGGAATCATTAAAAAACTATTCTGAAATTTGCTTTTTTCCCTCCCTACTTTATTTATCCGGAATCACTTCCCATATCAGTATATGTGGATTTGCCTCCTTATTTTTAGCAACTGCTGTATGTATAAAGTAGTATAAAAGATAAGCCCCCAATCTCGATGACTTCACATAATTAACATTTATTTCTCATTTACCTCAATCCTATTGGGGATCAAGTGGGAGTGAGGAGGGTAAGGAGATGTTTTGCTCTTAGCACTTATTCAGGAATCTAGGATGACCACGGCCCTGCCACCTGCAACATATGACTTCCATATACTTGGTGGCTGCTATAGTCACTCTGGGTGACAACATCCAGCCAGTAGATGGGGAAGGAGAGTGTGGAGAAGGGCAAAAGGTTTGTTTTACAATGAACCAAGTCTAGAGGTGACATCTAACACTTCTGCCCACATTACTTTGGCCAGAACTTGAAGAGTTTCCCCTGTAGACCAGCACTAGGAAATTGTCCTGGCTGGACAGCTGCTTGTCTGGAACAACTGGACACTGTGGAAGGGAAACACAAACCTTTAATGGGTGGTCAAACATACCTGACAAAGGTGCACTGTAGGAATACATCCGAATTTATTTAACATGCAGAAGGCTAGCTTGCTTCTCTTTCTTCTGCTTTTCTACTTATCTTTTGTCAAAGGCAAGTTTTTAAACTGTGGAAAGATATCATCTGATAAGAATGAAGACATGAGAAATTAGAAACCTGTAACCATTGCTGGTGGGTGTGTGTACTGGCTCAGATTTGGTGGGGTACAGAGGAGCCATCAATGAAAAACCTGTAAATGATGCATATCTATGATCCAGCAACACTTTTTTTTTTTTTTTTTTTGAGATGGAGTCTTGCTCTGTCGCCCAGGCTGGAGTGCAGTAGCGCAATCTCGGCTCACTGCAAGCTCCGCCTCCTGGGTTCACGCCATTCTCCTGCCTCAGCCTCCCAAGTACTTGGGATTATAGGTGTGTGCCACCACACCCAGCTAATTTTTGTTTTTTTTAGTAGAGATGGGGTTTTACCATGTAGCCTAAGCTGACCTCAAACTCCTGGGCTTAAGTGATTGGCTCACCTTGGCCTCCCAAAGTGCTGGGATTACAGGCGTGAGCCACCACACCTGGCCTGCTCCAGCAACACTTCTAAGGACGGTTTCTAAAGAAATGAGTGGATTGCTGCTCACATCTGTATGCACATGGATGTTTATAATAGTCATGCTTTGTAAACAACCTAGATGCCTAACCACAGAAAACTGTTTAAATTACTGCACATCCATGTAATGGAATACTATGCAGGGGTTTAAAATAATTGCATAGATATCTGCAAACATGAAAATATGTCCATGATACGTCATGATTAAAAAATAAGGTTCCTGGTCAAGTACCATGGCTCACGCCTGTAATCCCAGCATTTTGAGAGGCCAGGGCGGGCAGATCTCTTGAGCCCAGGAGTTCAAGACCAGCCTGGGCAACATGGCGAAACCTCATCTCTACAAAAAATACAAAAATTAGCTGGGCACGGTGGTGTGCACCTGTAGTCCCAGCTACTCAGGAGGCTGAGGTGTGAGGATTGCTGGAGCCAGGGAGGTAGAAGCTGTAGTGAGCCAAGATTGCACCACTGCACTCCCGCCTGTGTGACAGAATGAGACCCTGTCAAAAAAAAAAAAAAAAAAAGCTCCTAAAGTGCAATTTTAAAAAACAAATGATTACTTATAGCGAAAAGACTAGAGGACACATGCAAATGTGTACAGTATTTATCTCTGGGTAATAGAACTATGGGTGTTTTTCATTTTCTTCTTTTACACCTTTATGTAATGTGTTAATATTTTATCATTAGGGAAAAAAACAGCAAAGCTATTTTCAGCTTGAAATGAAAAAAGGTTGATAAAGGGGATTGGGGCTTAGGTGATTAAAGGCAAGCATGTGAGTCAGACATGGCCTCCCAGCCCCTGCCGGACTGTTGCGCTGTCGCCGGACACTCAAGTTGCTATCAGGAGCACTTTTCTCTGTCAAAGTGACTGGCTTTTGTCATGCAATCCCCAAGTTATAATGGGAGGGTAGGATAGGCCCCAGAGCAGTCAGCTGAGCCAGCCCCGCTCAGTGAGTCTGTCCTCTGGGGCTCGCCATGCCCCCAGCCTCCGCATGGGGAACACCATCAGGGCCCTCGTGGCCTTCATCCCTGCTGACCGTTGCCAGAACTATGTGGTCAGGGACCTCCGTGAGATGCCGCTGGACAAGATGGTGGATCTGAGTGGGAGCCAGTTACGCCGCTTCCCCCTGCACGTGTGCTCCTTCAGGGAGCTGGTCAAGCTCTACCTGAGCGACAACCACCTCAATAGCCTGCCTCCGGAGCTGGGGCAGCTACAGAACCTGCAGATTCTGGCCTTGGATTTCAACAACTTCAAGGCTCTGCCCCAGGTGGTGTGCACCTTGAAACAGCTCTGCATCCTCTACCTGGGCAACAACAAACTCTGCGACCTCCCCAGTGAGCTGAGCCTGCTCCAGAACCTCAGGACCCTGTGGATCGAGGCCAACTGCCTCACCCAGCTGCCGGATGTGGTCTGTGAGCTGAGTCTCCTTAAGACTCTGCATGCCGGCTCCAACGCCCTGCGTTTGCTGCCAGGCCAGCTCCGGCGCCTCCAGGAGCTGAGGACCATCTGGCTCTCGGGCAACCGGCTAACTGACTTTCCCACTGTGCTGCTTCACATGCCCTTCCTGGAGGTGATTGATGTGGACTGGAACAGCATCCGTTACTTCCCCAGCCTGGCGCACCTGTCAAGTCTGAAGCTGGTCATCTATGACCACAATCCTTGCAGGAACGCACCCAAGGTGGCCAAAGGTGTGCGCCGTGTGGGGAGATGGGCAGAGGAGACGCCAGAGCCCGACCCTAGAAAAGCCAGGCGCTATGCGTTGGTCAGAGAGGAAAGCCAGGAGCTACAGGCACCAGTCCCTCTACTTCCTCCTACCAACTCCTGAGGAGCTTCAGTTGCAAGTCAATGCCAAGGACCCAACTGCAGCATGTTCTGGAAGCCTCTCCATTGGAGTGGAAAGGATGGCTCTGGGTCATTTGGGAGTGGCTCTGCTAGTAGAGACTGATGGAGAGAGCCAGGTGGAATGCCATAAATCACACTGAGAAAATATTTCTGGCAAACAGCTCCTCTTCCAGAGGGGAGTTGTGTGCCAATGATGGCATGACAATCCAGAGATCATAACTTCTTTGCAAGAAAACAGCTTCTCCACACATGTATTTTGAAACACTGAAGAGCAAAAGGGGCTGGGACACTCTGAACTCCTGCACTCTCCAGAAGTGACTGGTCATGAAGCTCATGAGCTCCTCAAATAAGGTATTTGCCATAGAACTAAATATTCTGGTGGTCTGTCTCTTTGCAGGACATATTTTCTTTACTGTAAATGACCATAAACAGTATCAATGTATCACTGAGGCCACCGAAAAGGACATTTCTACCTAGGCAATCAGTCAGATTCACAGAAAAAAGTTGTTTGTTGTTGTAAAGGCTCAAGATGAAACTCTTTCCCCAGCAGTTTAGTGCCTGCTGAAAAGATCCCTGATGGACAATACTTCTTGGTGGACTCCAGCTGCCCCTTTTATTATTATTAGAGACAAGGTCTCACTCTGTTGCTAGGCTGGAGTGCAGTGGCACAATCATGGCTCACTGCAGCCCCGAACTACTGGGCTCAAGCCTTCCTCCCGCCTCAGCCTGCCCAGTAACTGGTACTACAGATGTGCACACCTGGCTAAGTCTTTAATTTTTTCGTAGAGATGAGGTCTTGCTATGTTGCCCAAGCTAGTTTCAAACTCCTGGGCTCAAGCGATGCTCCTGCTTCAGCCTCCCAAAGTGCTGGGGTTACAGGCATGAGCCACCACACCCAGCCTTCAGCTGTCACCTTAAACTTGACAGTGGCTCATGCTGATTTAGTTCATTTTCCCTAAAAGGTTTGTCCCAAGATCTGCTCCCAACAGTTGACTGTCACTGACAATGTTGGAAGTCATCTGGAAAAGAGAACCTCTGTGGTAATGTGGTCTCATTAAAGTCAAGCCTTGTTGTGATTCCTGTCTACCTCCCTGAAGCAAAGCCCTTCTGTTTATTCACACTAATGAGCCAGAGCTGAGCTAAATTGAATCCCTGTCCTTGGAGGAAAACCACATTTCCAGAAGCATGTTAGTTTAAAGGTAGTAGGTGAGAAATGTGTTCTCTTGAAACAAGCACTTTGAAATTTGAATAGGAAGTTGTAGTGTATATAGGAAGTCTCTGCCTCTTTCGCCTAGTATCTCTGCCTTTGTTTCAATTTGTTTTGATTTTTACAGACTGTTTTGACAATGTATAAACCAAGGTATTTTGTTTTTTGGAAGTATGTAAATTGTGACCTTCCCACAAATATATAAACTTTAAAGAAATTGTTGTCAGTGGGTAATTTAATAATACAATTCTTTATGTACTTGAACGTTTTCAGCAAACAAGGACACAAAAAGTGTTATCTTAACTAAAACATACAGTACCAAGTTTTTAAAAGGATGTTTTCTGTAAAAGCATCTTAACCCAACAAAGTTTGGTTCTAAAATGACATTACACAGCAGACCTATTTTCATGTATGTCTTCCTACCAGAAATATTTCCTGCTAAACTAGAGGAAGGATGATGTTGCATAATTCCTTCCTATCGTCACCTCCCATCTGCAGAGCATTTGCAACCCATTGATCAGACTGCCAAAAAAGGTCCCTTTAATCATTTAATGTAATAGGTTTAAACTTTCAGGTCAAACATATTTAACTCCTTTAGAAACAAGTCCATATTTCTGTTGGACAGTTAGGATTTATCTCATTCCTAATGACGGAAGCCAAATTATACTCAGCTGATGCTAGAAACTTTTGTCAACAGAACTTGCATTCTAAGCTTAATCTATAGCAAGGTTTATAGATTTCTGACTTTCTTTTGACCCTGTCTTACCCTTCCCAAGATTAATCGGCCATTCTGTAGTTGCAGACTATAACCATAAAACAGAGTGAAGCCAATTGATCCATACAGAACTGTCATCTAAAGAGCTAACTGGTCTGAATCAGTAGTCAAATTATAAACATTTTGGCCCATAATCAAGCTGTTTTCTTCTAAAACAGTCAATACACAAAGAACATTTCTCAAATGGTATGGTCAAGTGTTCGCTGTTGAATTTGCTTTCCAAAAATGTTTTCACTGTAGATTTTCAATCAATTTTTTTTTTTTTTTTTTGAGACAGAATCTTGCCGTGTCGCCCAGGCCGGAGTGCAGTGGCGCTATCTCGGCTCACTGCAAGCTCCGCCTCCCGGGTTCACGCCATTCTCCTGCCTCAGCCTCCCTCAGCCTCCCAAGTAGCTGGGACTACAGGCGCCCGCCACCACGCCCAGCTAATTTTTTGTATTTTTAGTAGAGACAGGGTTTCACTGTGTTAGCCAGGATGGTCTCGTCCTGACCTCGTGATCTGCCCACCTCGGCCTCCCAAAGTGCTGGGATTACAGGTGTGAGCCACCGCAACCGGCCTTCAATCAATTTTATAAAGTATATAAATGCATACTTACATTTCTATAACCCTTCTAATAGTTTCTGGAAATGTTGACACAATTAGAAAGTAAAATAAGAAAATGTTGAAGCACCAAATGTAACTTTTTTGCTCCTGATTTTTAAGTCTTGAAACTCAAAGTGTTAATGCATCAAAGGGAAAATGTCTTCCAGAAGTTTACATAGGATTTTAGATTCCATAAATAAGAGTGATGCCAACTGAAATCTTTAACATGGAATCAATTGAAATGAATCAGCAACCAAGTTTGCTTCTTTATTTTGTCCTAAAATGCATCATCTCTAGAGTTTGTAATTTTCACTTAAAAGTGGGTTTGTGCCCTAATAATCAACTGAACTCAAACTAAAGGCACATATCCAACACAGTGAACCAGAAGCAATGTAGCATAGCGGCTAAGAGCATGGCCCTTCAGACTACCTGGGTTCAAATCCTAGGCTTGCCACGTACTAGTCAGTTATCATCTATGTGCCTCAGTTGCTCATCAGTAAAATCATAACAGTTTCTGCAGAGCACTGTAAGGATTAAACCCATTACTGTGTATAAAATGCATAGAACAGTGCCTGGCATGTGACAGTGAAGGTTTATATAAAATGTTCTTTTACTAAGTACTACACCATGCAGCACAACACCTATATTTACCCTAAAAGCAAGTGTAATTCCTTGATTTTTTTTTAAAGTGGCATCCCATGATTTGAAGGAGAAAAAAAACAGTGGCAATAGAACAAAAAAGCTGTTTTCTCTTCAGAAAATTTTCAACCATAATATCTAAAAGTCCTGAATGTAAGAAATATAACCACAATTTGGTCAAATGCTCCTGGCTTACCAAAATAGGAAAACACACAGACATGATTACCAAGGATGCATTTGCAAATTTCTAAATGAATATACTTTCATCCTTATCTATTATTCTAGAATTAATCACCAAAGTACTTGAAAACACGGGACTATTCCTTGGCATGAAATCCGTTTCTTAAGGGGCAGGAGGCATGTGACTGAAGACGTCGGTCCTGTTAGATAATTTTACTCTGCCTTTTGCCTGTTTTTTTTTTTTTTTAAGCATACTATTTGTCATCTCCGTACCATAGAAAGGATACTACTACTATTTGAAAACAACAAGGTATGCATGCCTTTCTTTCCTTGTGGACCGTCCACTTCTGGCAAATACTAAGCAGGACTTATCATTGAATCATCAGTGCCTTGTACAGTTAGTTCCACCACACTTCTTGAAGATGGGAGATTTTATCATGTACCCAGCCCATGGGACAGGAGGAAAGGCTGACACGTGGAACGCTGCTAGAGGCCAGGTACTTTCCTCAGGTTCTAAAGTTAATTCATGTAATCTTTTCAATACTCCTTTGAAAAGAGCTATTATATACTGCTCACAATTTTAAAATCACAAATTTGAAATCAGGGTTATCTTTAGTCTTCATATTGAGAATCTGAAAAGTTCTATAGTAATTCTGATTTTTTCTTTTTTTTTTTTTTGAGATGGAGTCTTGCTCTGTCACCCAGGCTGGAGTGCAGTGGCGTGATCTCAGCTCACTGCAAGCCCCACCTCCCGGGTTCACGCCATTCTCCTGCCTCAGCCTCCCGAGTAGCTGGGACTACAGGCGCCCCTCCCGGGTTCACGCCATTCTCCTGCCTCAGCCTCCCGAGTAGCTGGGACTACAGGTGCCCGCCACCACACCTGGCTAATTTTTTGTATTTTTTAGTAGAGACAGGGTTTCACCATGTTAGCCAGGATGGTCTCGATCTCCTGACCTCGTGATCCACCTGCCTCGGCCTGCCAAAGTGCTGGGATTACAGGCGTGAGCCACCGCGCCCGGCCAGTAATTGTGATTTTTAAAAAGGTTCTCTTAATATCTTCTATTGATCTAATATGCTAATACGGCACACAGCAGACTTTTATAAAGGGTTTTGTACAGAGTATTTTGTTGACTTCTATTATTCGGAGCCCTGGCAAGAAAATGCATTCACCCCATGTGATTACATGGAGAGACTTTAGTGAAGACAGGGTGAAGTGGGGGAAAAAAACAAGTAATAGCAACCCAGACACTCACAATAGCAGCAGCTGTTATCACCTGTAAGACTAAACAGGGTAAAAAAAACGTTTTGGCCGGGCCAGAGCGAGACTCCGTCTCAAAAAAAAAAAAAGAAAATCATTTCCCAAATCCATTAAGAGCTAAGAGCCATGGTAAGAGGTGCTGCCTAACGAAGACATAGTAGCAGATCTTGCAGGGATGCAGTTACCTCCAGAGACAAAGAGCAAAGGCAGGAAGAGAATAGATTGTCTCCCTATCTCCTGCCAGTGCACCCTCAGTTAAAGCAATAGAAAACCAATCCATAAGGAGCTGTGAGCAAGGCAGCTAGCAGGGGTAAGCCTGCACAGCCCCAGTGCAGGCAAAGACTGGATTTGGGGTTGAGGAGTGTAAAATACCAAACCCAAATTATCCTTCCTCAGAGAAAAACTGAAGGTTAACTAGGATAGATTTTAAGTTCCTAAGCACTTAGACAAATTTCTATGCAGTAACAATTAATTTACATTCCAAATTTCTCTTTTCATGTCACAAGTCTTGTGAAAACAAAAACCCACTGCTTCCATACTTGCTATCTCTGAGTTAAAAGAAACTCCATCCGTCACTCATACACTGTTTGTGGGAATGTAAATTAGCTCCACCTTTATGGAAAACAGTATGGAGGTATCTCAAATAAATAGTTACAACTACCATTTGACCGAGCAATCCCACTACTGTGTATCTATCCCACGGAAATCATTTTATCAAAGACACCTGCAGTCGCAGCACTATTTACACTAGCAAAATCACAAAGCCAACCACAAGCCACCAAAAGTGGACTGGACTTTTAAGAATGTGGTACATCACAATGAGATATCATCTCACACCAGTTAGAATGGCAATCATTAAAAAGTCAGGAAACAACAGGTGCTGGAGAGGATGTGGAGAAATAGGGACACTTTTACACTGTTGGTGGGACTGTAAACTAGTTCAACCATTGTGGAAGTCAGTGTGGCGATTCCTCAGGGATCTAGAACTAGAAATACCATTTGACCCAGGCATCCCATTACTGGGTATATACCCAAAGGACTATAAATCATGCTGCTATAAAGACACATGCACACGTATGTTTATTGTGGCACTATTCACAATAGCAGAGACTTGGAACCAACCCAAATGTCCAACAATGATAGACTGGATTAAGAAAATGTGGCACATATACACCATGGAATACTATGCAGCCATTAAAAATGATGAGTTCATGTCCTTTGTAGGGACATGGATGAAATTGGAAATCATCATTCTCAGTAAACTATCACAAGAACAAAAAACCAAACACCACATATTCTCACTCATAGGTGGGAATTGAACAATGAGAACACATGGACACAGAAAGGGGAACATCACACGCTGGGGACTGTTGTGGGGTGGGGGGAGGGGGGAGGGATAGCATTGGGAGATATACCTAATGCTAGATGACGAGTTAGTGGGTGCAGCACACCAGCATGGCACATGTATACATATGTAACTAACCTGCACGTTGTGCACATGTACCCTAAAACTTAAAGTATAATAATAAAAAAGAAAAAAAAAAAAAGAATGTGGTACATACACACCAATGGAATACAACACAGCCATAAAAAAGAAAAACAAATGTCCTTTGCAGCAACACGGATGGAGCTAGAGGCCATTATCCTAAATGAACACAGAAGCAGAAAATCAAATATCACGTTCTCATTTTTAAGTGGGAACTAAACAAAAGTGACATGCGGACACAAATATGGACGAAATGGACTCTGGGGACTCCAAAGTGTGGAGGGTAAGATAGGCATGAGGGTTGAAGTTACCTACTGGGTCCGGTGTCCAATATTTGGGTGATGGATATGCTAGAAGCTCAACCCTCACCATCACACATAATACCCTTGTAACAAAGCAGCACATGTACCCCAAATCTAAAATTGTAAAAACTCCATCCTAAAACCGTTAACAGGAGTTAGGTCTAGGTCATACTTACCTCTGAAACTGGAAAGATATTTGTGAACTTGAGATTTTTCTAAAGACAACAATCAGTAAGGGCTTTGAAATATATGAAGGCAAGGTATGGCTATTTTCTTCAATATAGTAGTTTGCATATTTTTACCTTTTTAATATTTTTTATTGGCCAATCTGTTTTAAGGTCTTTGGAGAAAATATGCCTAACTCCATGCCATCTGGCCCCTCAGGATAAACTCACCTGTCCCACCACATCCTTTGTGGGTTGTCATATGCTCTCCTGCTCCACCTACCTCAGTTGTGAGGATTACAATTAATGTGTGATAAAGCACTTAAAAAAAATCACACAGCAGATGGTATTGCTATTCAATCAGTGTAATTCTAATACCACATTCTTCCAGTTTTAATCACATCTACAAATATTAAAATATTGAGACAAATTCTTACATGTCTCAACTTCCCCCCCCCCTTCCCACAAAATTGTTTGGTCTATCAGTGTTTCTTTAAAAATCCTTTGCTCCTTTATGGGAATGTCCCTCCATGTTAGCACAGATGTCCAATAAAAACTCAACCTGTTGGTCTCTTACTTCTTGTGTATTCTGCTACATACGGATGCAGTATTAACAGCCTCCAAATCTAGAGTTGCCTTTAAACCAGCGAACTCAGTCCATACTTACACCCATTCTCATTCTCTTATCCACTTACCCAAAACAAAAAACCCTTAAAAAAAAAAAAAACCCAATCAATAACAATACTTAAGTCTAACCATACTCTTCTTCAGAGAAATTACCTTACAAAGCATTGGAAAGAGGTGCTGAGAACCAGCCAGGGCAGCACAGCAAAACCTGTCTCTACAATTAAAAAAAAAAAAAAAATCAACCAGGCATGATGCCATGCACCTATAGTCCCAGCTACTTGGGAGGGTGAAAGAATCGCTTGAGCCCAGGAGGCAGAGGCTGTAGTGAGCCGTGATCACACAACTGTACTCTAGCCTGAAGGACAGAGTGAGATCCTGTCTTGAAAAAAAAAGATACTTAGAGCACATCATCTTGCAACTTTAAAATATGACTTTTTCAAGCTTAAAAACATCATACAACATAGAGACCAGCCTGGCCAACATGGCAAAATCCCATTCTCTACTAAAAATACAAAAATTAGCCGGGCATGGTGGTGGACTACCATGTAATCCCACCTACTCGAAAAGCTGAGGCAGAAGAATCATTAGAAACTGCAAGGTGGAGGTTGCAGTGAGCCAAGATCGCACCACACTGCACTCCAGCCTGGTGGACAGAGTGAGGCTCCATCTCAAAAAAAAAAAAAACACATCACAGAAAGCATCGTAATTTTTTTCAATGCAAGAGACAGCACTTAGACTACACCAAATTAAATGAGTACTAGTTTATGGCATTTTCACTAAACAAAATTAAATGGGTAAATTAAATCCCAAGCAACTGGGATTATAGGCGCCCACCACTATGCCCAGCTAATTTTTGTATTTTTAGTAGAGATGGGGTTTCACCATGTTGCCCAGGCTGGTCTTGAACTCCTGACCTCAAGTGATCCACCTGCCTTGGCCTCCCAATATTAGGATTACAGGCATGAGCCACCGCACCCAGCCATGATTGAGTGTTCTTATGGCCCAGCAACAAAACCAAAAGATTAATATATGGCGTGTTTATCACATTTGACTTGGACTTATATTAATCAAGATAATTATTTCAAAAATGTAGATGGCCAATCATTAAGCTGGAAAATGCCATATTGAAAATAATCATTAATTTCCATTAAGTAGAGTTCAAACAGAATACACACATATAAGACATAAGAACCAAGTAATTGTTCAAATTTTTATTTTAATGCACAGTATGAGAAATGAACTTTTTTAAATCAACTGATTTGTATGGAAAATGACACGGCAAATAAATTAGACCTATGTTAAAGCGAAGGTCAGCTAAATATCCAAACTTAAGGATATAATGGGCACCGATAAACAGATTCCACAGTCTTCTTTAATAGAGTATCTTTCAAACACAACTTTGCTAGAAACTGGTCCAAAGATCGACAGCACGTGGGAATGCTTAACAGGGGTGGTGATCAGGGACACGTTTCCTATGAGAGTAAGAAAAAAGTCAATAGTGAAAAATGAAGAGCATGATTTTATCCAAAGTATTATACTAAATACAAACACAACTAGAATCCTGTATTAAAACTGTTATAACTCTGCAATGGTTTGCATGTGTGTCCCCTATAACACTCACATTGAAACTGAATCCCCAATGTGGCAGTATTGGAAGTTGGGCTTTTAAGAGGTGACCAAGTTATGTCATGGACTAATGGGTTATATAGGATGGGACTGCTGGCTTTAGGTGAGGAGGAAGACAGACCTGAGCTAGCCACTCAGCCCCCTCCTCTGTGTGATGCCCTGCACCACATCAGGACTGTTCTGCCTTGGGACTCTGCAGACACCCCCACCAACAAGAAGCACCTTCTATTCTCATCTTTTATTCTTTGATGACCATACAATAAGGGGGCATAGAACAATCTTTTGGAAAGATGGGATAAGGGTACTAGTAAATTTGTACTTAATGCTTGTTCAAGGATCTAAAGCTTGAGAAACACTGCTTTTAGAGGCAAACACAACAGTTACGAGAAGCTGAAGAAGCTTAAGAACAGATCAAAGAGTACAGCATTATACAGGGATCATATAGAGAGATAAACTTTTCACCCTTGGTAGCTTATGGGGGGACTAGGATGCTAACCATTGTCAAGAGTTATGAAGCAGCTGTCACAGGGCACTGATCTGAAAAAAAAAGTCTTCTGGAGATTAATAAGGAATATGAAAAAGAAGCCCATGGTCTGGTAGGTCTGGAAGGCTGAGTTAAAATTCAGTTTCTTTATTGCAAATTACTCAGAATTTGCTAATAAAAGATACCTGATCTCTAAAACAGTATCAGACCAAACAAGGTATTATACATTTTTTAAGCGTTATTTCAACTGTGGGTGAGGGCACTGACTTCTTGTGAAGATTTCTGGGAGTAGGTGTGGCTATATGACCTTGCCCTAGAACACTTTAGTTACAGAACTCAGTTTCCTTTTGCTATCATTCTGTTTAAAGACAATAGAAAGCATCACAGCATCTACTGTCCTCAGTACTTGACCTTTCCAAGCATGGCTCTTTCTGTGCCTTTTCAATCCTAAGAGCTACCTCAGCTGCCCATCCCTCTTTCCCCTTAAGTTTTTCTGGCTTAAGTGTTAAGAGTTGTGATATTTTAAATAACTTACATACTTTTATCCAGGCAAAACTGTCTCTGCTTTTCATTAACTCTAATTATAAAATAAATACAGCTCCCTATTTTGTTTTGCTGTTAGTAATTTTTTCTGAGAAAAGTGTTAGGGTACCTGGGTGCCGCTTTGATGATGTTGTCCACACGCAGAATCACCTCTGCTGCTTCAGCTGCACTCAGAAGAACCTGTCGCTTCACTTGAAAACTTTCTGTTATACCCAGGATAGCCATATCTCCAATGGTGCCTTCCCTCATATCTGCAAAGAAAAACAAATTTACTAAAAAGCAGTTTTAACTAAAGTATCAAAACATCTCTAATGATTTATAATAAAAATTAATCCTATTAATAAAATTAGGACACCCAACTACTTTACTCAGTAGGTAGATAAGCCTACAAATGAGCTCAAAGAAAGCCTTTAAAAAAATTAAAAGGGGCCGGGTGCAGCGGCTCACATCTGTACTCCCAGCACTTTGGGAGGCTGAGGCAGGTAGATCACCTAAGGTCAGGAGTTGGAGACCAGCCTGGCAAACATGGTGAAACCCCGTCTACTAAAAATATAAAAAATTAGCCGGGCATGGTGGTGGGCACCTGTAATCCCAGCTACTCAGGAGGCTGAGGCAGGATAATCACTTGAACCCAGGAGGCAGAGGTGGCAGTGAGCTGAGATCATGCCTCTGCACTCCAGCCTGAGTAACAACAGTGAAACTCTATCTCAAAAAATAAATAAATAAAATAAAAGGGGCCAGGATCAGTGGCTCACACCTATAATCCTAGCACTTTGGGAGGCTGAGGCAGGAGGATTGCTTGAGGCCAGCCTGAACAACATAGTGAGACTGCCCCCCCATCTCTAAGAAAATAAAAATAATTTAGTCAGGCATTGTGGCACATGCCTTTAGCCCTAACTACTTGGAAGGCTGAGGAAGGAGAACTGCTTGAGCCAGGGGTTCAAGGCTGCAGTGAATTATCATGGTGCCACTGCACTCCAGCCTGGGGAACAGAGCAAGACCATTGTGTCAGTTATAATAATAGTAATAACAACAATAATGTCAACTACTGATCACCCATATTAATAGAAGACAACATATCAAATAATAAAAAACAAATGGAAGAAAATTCATAAGTTACCTACCCAACTTCTCTTCTTGTGAGAATCCTGCTTCATTTTCTCACAGATTAACTGGTGCTCCCTCTTGTTCAATGACAGGATTATCTACCTTCTTAAGACTACTCTATAATGTCCAGCACAGCTTGTCAGAAAGTTTTTCAATATGAATTAAATCTGCCTCATTGGCCACTTTTATCTATGGACTAGAGATCTGTGATCTGTACTCAAGATTATCTTGCAGTAAGTTTACTATGAAATTAGAAGTTAATACTGATTGTATAAACAACATAATAGTTTATGTTATTTTTCAGAATGTAAGTATTGTTTATATTTAAATCCTATAGTCGTTATATACCAAATAGTTACAAATCTTCTAACCAGTTTTACATGTCTTATGGAATAACAAAGTTTGGGAAATGCTGAGCATATAAAGTCACACACATTTTCCCAGCACATGTAATGATTATGAGGACAAAGTCCAAAAGAGTCTTTTATACGGTTATTGTAACTCTTTATGTTCCAAAAGAAAAAAAAAGCTTAGTGAAAAGAGTTACTTTTAACAACGGCCACAAAGTTCCCCTTGATTGCTTACCCAATCCAGCAGTGGTATTGCCTTCACTGTGAGCAGCCCTGAGCTGTGCCACCAGGTCTGCACTGTCATAGCCTGCATTGTCAGCTATGATGGTTGGCAACTATGAAAATGAAGAAAACAAGTAACTACTCACTCTACTGTAAGAACCACTGATTTACTCCTAACTAGGATAGCTTTTTAAAATTATACATTTAGGAACAATGTAAAATCTGCTTCAGTTACTGCTCACGAAGAGGAGAAACTCCAGAATCAAATTTAAAAGCAGTATTAACCAGTTCATTTTCTACTCATTTTAAAACTATCAATAACCACAAAACTTAAGTTCGGATCTCTCATTTTGATTAACTTACCATTCTCAGTGCTTTAGCATAAGACTCCATTGCAACAGCTTCTTTGCCTGGTGTTCTATTGGCAAGCTGTGTCACAGCATGAGCCATCAACATCTCAGAACAGCCTAAAGATTAAAATTCCAATAAAATATTGCAATGCTTAGTTGTCTCCAAGATACTGAATTACTGACTTTAAGATATGCCAAGCATTTTAAAATTTAGTGCAAAAGCAATATAAGATTTCTGTAAGAACCATTAAAACCACTTATGACTTATATTGTACTTTAAGAAATTAAAAATATATTCAACATTTTCTAAATGCTTACCTCCTCCATAAACTGTTCTAGAGTCCTTTACAGTTTGCGCAAGAACACAAAGAGCATCATGCAATGATCTTTCTGCTTCATCTAAAATTTGTTGAGTGGCACCACGCAAAACAATGGTACAAGCCTCACCTAAAATTAAAAGACACAGTGACCACTTAGGGATAAAAAGTTTGCCTTCTATTATTTATGCCGGTGTTGGTTATATTACTGGGTTCTGAAAGCTGACCTGTCTTCCTGTATTATACATTCTCCAACAATCAAGGCTCATAATGGTTCTAAGTTATCAAGGAAAAAAAACTGTTGAACATGCACTGTTCACAAAGACACGGTAAATATGAGGTTGACTCAAGAGACTGAAACAAAGTATGTATCATGCTTCTGAAGAGTTAAGACTTGTAAGATATGCTATTCTAGTAACTACAATAACCTTTACTTCAACAGAGCCTAGCAAGAATTTAGACACCCTAACCAGGATCTACATAATCACTCACCAAGGGCAACCCCAGAAAAGTGAATGAGTTTGTCTTCTCCAATCATGACTTCCTCGATAAGTTTGCAACTTCCAAGCTTCACCAGTTCTGGGTGATCAAAGGTAGAGGCAATTTCACCACCTATAAACATAAACATGTATTAGTTAAATGCACAGCAGGCTTAAAATTCCTGTTTTCTAATAAGCAGTAATGGATAGATAATGATAGGTAATGTGTTTCACATTTTAAAAATTGATTGCTGATTATATTCCTGGCACTCTTTTTAAATACTTCATATCGACTAATTATTTAATCTTTAAAATAATCCTCTTGGATAGGCTCCATTATTATCCCATTTTACACATGATAAAAATGAGGCCAAGAGGTTTACCTTCCTATCCAAAGACCTAACTAGGATGAATATAAAAAGCTGGGGTTCAAACTCAAGCAGTCTGGCTTCAGACCTATAAGCACACACTATACAATACTACCTTCCCAAGGTTAAACTGAGTCTTAAAGCAGTTACTTTTGAGTTTAAATTCAGATTCTCTTCTGAATCCAACCTATAAGACTAAGACCTCATGATACAATTCCCAGCACAAGACATGAAAATATTTGTCCTATAAGTCAACCACTATACACTTCATGAACTGCTTAATAAGCACCTGATATCTCTAATTATCACAAATGAAATGTCCTAAGGCCTAAAAAAACAAGAAATGCATACTAAGAATTTCCCAGACCAAATTTAATAAGAACAAATTAATTTAGTCCTTATGTCTCATTTCTATTCCTATTTTCCCTCCATCTTCCATGCTGTAAACTGAACAGGTCAGCCACTTCGTTCCCTATTTCCTAACTAAGCAAAAGTCAGGTTTCCATTTCAAAATCCTTTTCTCTAGCTGACTACTCCTTTCATAATGTGAATTGCATATATTATCAATCAACCCTTCTTTTCCTATGCCTTACTGATAAATCTGTCAATGCTCTATTATTTATTTTATAATAAATTCATAAAGACTCTGGTCTTTGAAACTACTAATTTATACTCATAATTTGTATAAAGTTCTTTTTACTTTTGGCTGGCAAAATTCTGAGACTGCTTTGTGTTCTAGATGTGAGACACAACAGATATTTGGGACGTCATATCCAAAAATAAGACTAACTTGGCTTATGAAACTTTTCACTTCATCCTTCTACATGAGACTTTTCTTTCTTTTTAAAGAGAGAGTGTCTTGCTACCTTGCCTAGACTGGAGCGCAATGACTATTCACCAGGCACCATCATAGCACAACCTCCTGGGCACAAGCAATCTTTCTGCCTCAGCCTCTTGAATAGATCAAACTGCTGGCACATGCCACCATGCCCAGTGCAAGACATTTATTTAATGACACTTGCAAGAACCAATGTCATCATACACCTTTGACAACCACTGAGCTTTTAAGGATGGGAGCCACCATGTGGTCACCTTCATAGACATACAGTTGGTGTACTTAATAAACATTCTTCTGGGTATAGAGCAATTTCATGTCAAGACCTTACGATATGTTTATCCCATCAATATATTATTACCATTTACTTCTTACATCTTTTTTTTTTTTTTTTTTTGAGACGGAGTCTCGCTCTGTCACCCAGGCTGGAGTGCAGTGGCGCCAATCTCAGCTCACTGCAACCTCCACCTCCCGGGTTCAAGTGATTCTCCTGCCTCAGCCTCCCGAGTAGCTGCGACTACAGGCACCCACCACCACGCCTGGCTAATTTTTTTATTTTTAGTAGAGACAGGGTTTCACCATATTGACCAGGCTGGTCTCAAACTCCAGACCTTGTGATCTGCCCACTTAGGCCTTCCTAAAGTGCTGGGATTAAAGGCGTGAGCCACCACACCCGGCCTCTTACATCTTTATTTTGTGGAACTAAAGAATGAATTACATAAACATGAGCATCTTAAATTGTGTTTATTTGTCACCTTAAAGCATCAAGTACGCAATGGCTCCTAAGTAACTTTAAAGCAAGTAAACCCACTTCAAGTAATTAAAGGAAAATGTCTCTTGGTTAGAAGACGACTATGCTTCTCAAATGATTAAAAAAAACGTCTTAAGAGATCATTCTGGGATGAGACCAAGTCCACTCTCCAAAGGTTAGTACACTATAATTTCTTCTAATATTCATGGCAGTTCCAAACAGTGTGACAGCCCTACTGACTTCACAACTCATAACCCAGGTCTCCTTAATTCTCATTCCCAAACCAACTTTCCAACCTATTCATTCATTTTCAAGGACCTAAAATCTAGAAAAGTGTTAAACTTATTTTCCAGGGCTTAGAGTGTACTATGAAAACCATTAACAAAACTATACTTATATCCCTAAATCTGTAAAAATTTAATAAACAATAATTTTTAAACCATTACCACAATAAAAAGCAAACAAGCTGCATTTTTTTTTTTTTTTTTAAAGACAGGGTCTTGCTCTGTCACTTAGGATGGACTGCAGTGACGTGATCACAGCTCACTGTAGCCTTGGACTCCTGGGCTGAAGAGATCTCCTGCCTCAACCTCCCAAGTAGCTAGGACTACAGGCATGTGCCACCACGCCCAGCTAATTTTTTGTAGAGACAGTCTTACTATATTGCCCAGGCTGGTCTTGAACTCCTGGCTTCAAGCAATCTTCCTGCCTTGGCCTCTCAAAGCACTGGGATTACAAGCATGAGCCACCGCAACCAGCCTGAACTCATGTCATTGTGATGTAGACAGACATGTCTGATTTATAAACACAATTTCTATTTGACACAACTGGAATTATATCACTCATACTTCTATTAAAGGGTATTGAGGTATACTAATTTTCATTATACAATGTTGATTGTTTCACGTATGCTAACGTTTATTACTTTCAGAAATTTTTTAAAATTAACAAAAGCAATGTTTCAGTACTTGACCCACTCTCCAGCACACAGTAAATGTTCAATAAAGGTTACTATTGTAACTGTACTACTACAAAGGACACAAAGCATTCAACTACTTACTAAGCAATAAAAACAAATGTACGAACTAGATAAATGTAAGTAGACTTAAGACTTTTTAAAGCTCTAGTTTGTTCAGATTTTAACAACGGTCTTACAGGTTTGTGAGAAAAAAATATACATATCTTTTTTTTTTTTTGAGACAGGGTCTCACTGTGTCGCCAAGGCTGGAGCGCAGTGGCACGATCTCCGCTGACTGCAACCTCTGCCTCCCAGGCTCAAGCGATTCTCTTCCCTCAGCCTCCCCCCAAGTGGCTAGGATCACAGGCGCTTGCCACCACACCTGGCCAATTTTTTTTTTTTGTAGGGATGTGGGTTCGCAATGTTGCCAAAGTTGGTCTGAAACTCCTGAGCTCAAGCGATCTGGCTGCCTCGGCCTCCCAAAGTGCTGGGATTACAGGCACAAGCCACTGCACCTGGCCAAAAATCTACCTTTAAAACAGTGACACAATGAAAGAAATCTATACCTACGGCAAATGTGGTATATAACTTGGTATCGTAAATGTAATGTATCTATGTATCTAAATTAAAGGTATCCAAGAGAATAGATTTCAGAATAACTGCTGAAATTCTAAACTCCTTAAAGGTAGTTGCATATAGTAACAAATAACAAATTCAAGAGTGACTATTGTGTTTGTTAGAAAACAATACCTTTTTTCCATACCTGTGACAAGAGCTAGGCGTTCCACACCTGCAAAATCTGCATGCTCAATAGCCATGACACCAGCAGCACCAAAGAGCTGTTCAGGATAATTATAAATTAATTGCCTGTAAATAAAATACATGAAAACATTATGCTCACAACTGTTACAAGATAAACTACATTAGACTAAAAAACATGTAAACATTTTTACCACAAGTAAAAGAAATGCAAATTAGAACAAGATTGCATTTCTTACCTATATAATTAGAGTTTATCAACTATAGTACTAATGCATCCATTACTAGTATTGAAAAGAAGTGTTCTTTATTATAGTAACTGTATAAATCAATCCCGTAATTCTGGTCACTGTAAGTGTGCATAAATCACAATTTACTGATTACAAAAATCCATAATTTAAGTGAAGTTATCTAAGACAGTTCCTAGGTAAAAAATCTAATTCAATATAAGTAAATATGAAGTATTCCATAAACTTTCATGGAAAAAAATCCTTTCTTAAAAGCAAACACAGACCTGTTAATAAAGCAATTTATTCCATGCTTAAGAATACGTTCAACTTTCTCCTTCATTTTTTCCTTTTCCGCATGTTCTATTTCTGCAACCTTTGCTGTAGAGTCAACTCTTACCCGGGAACCAAATATCTAAGACAAACGAAGCATAAAGAGAGCATCAGTTTCATTATTTTTTTTGAGATTGAGTCTCGCTCTGTTGCCCAGGCTGGAGTGCAGTGGGGCAATCTCGGCTCACTGCAACCTCCACCCGCTGGGTTCAAGTGATTCTCCTGCCTCAGCCTTCCAAGCAGCTGGGATTACAGGTGTGCGCCACCACACCCAGCTAATTTTTGTATTTTTAGTAAAGACAGGGTTTCACCATCTCACATTGGTCAGTCTGGCCTTGAACTCCTGACCTTGTGATCCGCCCGCCTGGCCTCCCAAAGTACTGGGATTACAGGCGTGAACCACCACGCCAGGCCTCATTACTCTTTTTAAAGAGTCCCATAGCATATTTCAACATTTTTACCAACGTATATATATGTGTATATACACAATAGATTCATACCTATTCCAAGCTTTTTAGTGCAATTGATTCCTGAGTTTATAGAATCCAGCAATTTTTTTTTTTTTGAGACTTTTGAGACGGAGTTTCACTCTTGTTGCCCAGGCTCGAGTGCAGTAGCACAATCTCGGCTCAGTGCAACCTCCGCCTCCTGGGTTCAAGTGATTCTCCTGCCTCAGCCTCCCGAATAGCTGGGATTACAGGCATGCGCCACCATGCCCAGCTAATTTTGTATTTTTTTTTTTTTAGTAGAGACAGGGTTTCTCCATGTTGGTCAGGCTGGTCTCAAACTTCTGATCTCAGATGATCCACCACCTTGGCCTCCCAAATTGCTAGGATTACAGGCATGAGCCACTCTGCCTGGGCAGTAATTTTAATTTTTAAAAAGTAGAGTTACATACCTTTATTTTGTCTGTATCCATACCAGTATTTGCAATAAGAATTTTAGCATTTTCAATTCGTTTTGGTTGATTTACTCCAATTTTTTTATCCAACAGGAAGCCTACAATAAATATAAGAACAGTATCATATTTAATACTTCAAAGCAGCCTTAGTAAATCTTATAAAAAGCTGTCTGCTTTATCATATCACTGTTTCAAAGAAGCTATTTAAGTCCAATTTACCAAGCTCTTAGAAGGCATAAAAGCAAGCTTGTCCAACCTGCCTTATTCTGTTGTTGTTTTGCTTTTAGGCTTTTAGCGCCTGAAAGCCATGGATTTTAGTTTCTGTCTCTAGTGATAAGCAGAAAAGAGGGAGGAGGAAGGGGCTTTACCGACCCAACCAGAAACAGAAACTAGGAACCCATGACTGTATTCTCTTCCTTGGACACTTCTGGTATAAAGCATCCCACTAGAAGAGTTATTACAAAATCAATTTAATGGGTTACTTAAAAAATATGAAACAGAAAATATAAGAGCACAGTACAGACAATAAAATTAAACAGTATTTTGAAACTTTTGTTTCAGATATACGCTACACCCACATCTGTATGGGTTGCAATATAAAGACAATAGGTTAAGTCCTATATTTTTATTAGCTTAAAATCACCACCACAAGAGAAAAATTGAAGATTCAGGTATTGAGGCTGGTGGTAAAAATGGAAAAACCATGGACACCGTGGAGTCAGATAAATCTGACCCTGATCATGCCCCTGCTGCTGGCTATATAACCTTCGACAAATTATCCAACCAGAAATGCTAATTTGTAAAACAGGAATGTAACCAGTAGCAGAGGTGCTAGTTACCAGCCTAGTCCTGCTGCTTTGGAACCATCATACAAACCCAGTACCACCTACCTTTCTAGGCCTTTTTTTGGTTACATTAGAAACTTTTCCATTATGAAGCCACCATTATCTTGGGTTTTCTACTCTATTCAAGTGAACCTAATCCTCACTCACCAGGTCATGATGACTAAATGACTAAAGTTCCTATTACAATTCCTAGTACAGAGCAGACATTCAAGAATGGTGCTGCTTGTGCTACTAATATTCTTGTTTTAATGCTCCTTCCCTACCACCAGCCCCTATCAGAAATGCTACGCAGCGGCCAGGCATGGTGGCTCACGCCTGTAATCCCAGTACTTTGGGAGGCTGAGGCAGGTGGATCCCCTTAGGTCAGGAGTTCGAGACCAGCCTGGTCAACATGGCGATACCCCGTCTCTACTAAAAATACAAAAAAGTTAGCCAGGCATGGTGGCACACGCCTGTAATCCCACCTACTCAGGAGGCTGAGGCAGGAGAATCGCCTTAACTCAGGAGGCAGTGGTTGCAGTGAGGCGAGATCATACTGCTGCACTCCAGCCTGGGTGACACAGCCAGACTCCGTCTCAAAAAAAAAAAAAAAGAAATGCTACACAGCTCTTGTATATAAACTTAATCAAGAGTATTTTCAGAATTATGACTCTCTCTTAAAATAAATCAAGACCTATGACACAGAACAAAACCAGGACTCCAAACCACTGGTAAAAACAGAAGTTGTAAAGCACCATCTAATTCTTTTTTTTTCCTTCTCTATATAAGAATGCCTATACTTTTTGACAGGCCATTTTGTGAAGTAAATATAATGTGAAGATGATCTGGAAAACTTCACTCTAAACAAAAATGTACTACTAAGAAAGCAGTACTTATTATGTCTCATTTATCACTCTTTAAGAACTAGATCCTCTTGCCCTATAAACATACATAATTATTTGTTAAAGAAATTTTTTTTAATTCTTTTCTAAAAAAAACTAGTCATCCCCCAGTATACGAAGGGGACTGGTTCCAAGACGCCCACATACACCAAAATCCCCACATACTTAAGTTCCAGGCTGACTGGAACCAGCAGATTTGAAAAGCTGGCCCACTATATACATGGGTTTCAAATCCTGCAAATACTGCATTTTCCATCCACGTTCGGTTGCACATGTGCAAACCACGGACACAAAGGGCTGACTATATTTATTGAAAAAACCTGCATTGTGAACCTACATAATTCAAACCCATGTTGTTCAATGGTCAACTGTACATCCTCAACAACCAGCTAACACAATGATTTGACTGACCCAGACCCTTCCTGGAGAATACATATAATCCTGGTAAAAGTACCATTTGAGAATAGATGATTTCTAGTAAAAGAAAACATTTCCTCTTTATCAGAGACTGCAAATAACTTCATGGTAGTTAAGTAAACTCTAGAGATCATCAACAATGCTGGAATAGCGCGGGAAGAGGAGTACACTGTCAATAAAATGACAAAAATGGTTGCACATATGATATGTCCTTAAATTCAAGTTCACTGGCTTTGTAAAGGGTCACTGGTCTCAAAACAGAATTCACTCAGTATTCAGCCCTCAGCATCTAATCAAAGCTTCTTGTATCTGACATTCATACATACCTTCATCTAAATAGGAATCTGCCAAACTTCCTCCTAGCTTCTTGATAATATGAATTGCCTCCAGGTTGCCAGAGCCTTTCAGTCTGAGAACTGCTTCTACAGCTAACTTTGTAAAGTGGTCTTTGTGATGAGTAAGAAGTTTTGAGGATAATGTTGTGCCCGCAATATTCATTAAATCTTGACGGAATTTAACTTCATCGGAACTAAATAAAACCAACCAAATATACATATTAACCCTACTTTACTTTTCAAAATTTATCTAGATATTCATGTCAATAGATAATTTTACCCTAACTGATCAAGTCTGTAAGCTATATGAAAAGAATTAAACCTCAGCAGTAATCAAGAAACACAAATTAAAGATGTTATTTTCCCCACCAAACTGGCAAAATGCCAAAAAAAAAAGAGGGGTGGGGGCCACACAAGCATGCAAAAGTCTAATGTTGGCAAGAATGTGAGAAATGGCCGGGCACAGTGGCTCACGCCTGTAATCCTAGCACTTTGGGAGACTGAGGAGGATGGATCACTTGAGGTCAGTTCAAGACCAGCCTGAGCAACATGGTGAAACCCCATCTACACTAAAAATACAAAATTAGCTGGCTATGATGGCACATGCCTGTAGTCCCTGCTACTTGGGAGGCTGAGGCAAGAGAATCGCTTGAACCCGGGAGGCAGAGGTTGCAGTCAGCCGAAGTCGTGCCACTGCACTCCATTCTGGGCAACTCTAAGAGCGAGACTCCGTCTCAAAATAAATAAATAAATAAAAGGACGTGAAAAACAAGTATTATTATACAGTTGTGAATGGGCAAATAAATAGAAGTGCCTTAAAACAGTGGTCCCGGACCTTTTTGGCACCAGGGACTGGTTTCATGGGAAGACAATTTTTCCACCTGCTGCTCACCTGCTGTGCAGCCCAGGTTTGGGGGTGCCTTAAAACACACACACTTACCTTTGGACCCAACAATTACACTTCTAGAAACCTTTGGGCTATGTCGCAACGTCACAAAGTTATTTTATAATGCTAAAAATCATCAAATACACAAATCTCCCCCTACAGATAGGTTAATACAGTCATTCTAGCCAAATATTCAAATGTGTAACTCTATTAAAATACTGCACAGAAAATTGACATCCAAAAATGTGCTTAATATTTAACTAGGTTAAAAAGAGGCTAACAAATTCTCTATACAGTATTATACTATTTGCTTTATTTGTATATTTTGATGATATATACAAAAAGACTAAAAACCCAAACTTAACTTTAGTGGCTATCTCTGGAGGCTGATGTAGGTTTGACTGTTGGAGTGGGGTGAGGCAGCAAGATGATCTTTGTGTATGCTTTTCAGTGTCCTATAGATTTCTTGCATTAAGCATGTTATGAAAGAACACTAAATGTTTAGAACAGTAGTACTTTGCTATACAAACCCATGATCAACTGCAGAACTCAACAGCGCCTCTCTTGCAGCCTTCGTGGCTTCTCTCCAACCCGCTATGATGGTCTGTGGATGAATCTTTTTTGCAATTAAAGATTCTGCTTCCTATTAATAAAGTTATAAAACAAAAGTTATAAATAGAAAATTATTAAGCACTCCTCAATAGTAAAGACAGAGGAAGTAAGGACTAGATTACCTCTGATACTCAAAAACACAGTAGGAAAAAAGAGTTGCTTAGTTGCTCTTACCCTTAATAATTCTGCTGCTAAAACGGTAACAGAGGTAGTGCCATCACCAACTTCATCATCTTGAACCCTTGACATATCTAGAAAAAGAAATTAGTTATTAACTCAAAATTGCTTCTTTGCTTACTAAATTCTCCAAAAATATTCACTACCAATCTAAACTTACCAGGGTTCCTCATTCAACAAATTATTTGGAACTCTGAGGTCTGAAATGCAACAGTTTTACCACCAACATACGGGCACTCCTGAAGCTTGTATTTTAACAACGATAATTAACAACTAGTGGACATCAATTGACAGTACGATTGGTCAACACAGCCTATTTATAAAGTTATTTCAAAAATGTTAACAAACAGTATTATTAGGTTGGTGAAAAAGTATATTCAGACTTACCAACTAAAACTTTAGCTGCTGGATTGTCAACACCAATGTTTTTTAGAATAGTGGCACCATCATTGGTTACCATAAGAGAGGCATCTCGTCCACTGCTTAGAAGAATTTTGTCCTAAAGGGAACATAATTGGTTCAAGTTAAGACATAAGCACATCTTGAAGAATGCATGGATCAATCAGTATTCTCACACAGTGCTAGTGTATAAACACTCTGGATAGCTATTTTGTGGTATCCATTCATCAAATGTTTTCAATACATACACCACGTAACCAAACCATGTATCTACCCCTAGAAACACTAGAAGCACAGGTAGACACTAGTTTTTGTTTCAACACCGTAACTGCAAAAACAATGGAAAGAAACTATCAATACAGCCATAATTAAATTATAAAATAATTAAGGTACAGGATAATATTTGACAGTTAAAGGGGCAGTGTTATCTACTTACACTGAAAGGAATTTAAAAGAGCAAGCTACAAAAAAGTATTGATAAATAGTATCTGTTTTATAAAACAGTATGTTACATGAGTATAAAATACATAATGAAGTACACATACTTCTACATAAACAGAATATTAGAAGATGTACGTGCAAATGATAACAGTACTTGTCATTGGGGAGGGGCATGGGATTGGGGATGGTGATTCTGGGGACTCTGATTTTTACTAAGGAGAACATACTTGTCTTTTATAATTAAACGTTTTAAAGATTAAAAAGCATTTTAATACGCTTGTTATTATATTTCCACCAAGCGCTCTAAAACAATATTAAAATATAAAACTTTTCTATTTTTCTTACCATGCCTTTGGGTCCCAAGGTGCTCTTTACCAAGTCTCCAATGGCGATGGCACCAATAAAAGAAGTCTGGAGTAAAAACCAAGGAGATTATCAGAATCAACTTTACAGTCTTCAAGTACAGTTTTATCTTTATTTACTTTTTTTTTTTTTTGAGGCAGAGTGTCGCTCTGTCGCCCAGGCTGGAGTGCAATGGCGCGATCTCAGCTCACTGCAACCTCCGCCTCCTGGGTTCAAGCGATCCTCCTGCCTCAGCCTCCCGAGTAGCTGGGATTACAGGTGCCCATCACCACGCCCGGCTAATTTTTGTATTTCTAGTAGAAACGGGGTTTTACCATGTTGGCCAGGCTGGTCTCGAACTCCTGACCTCAGTTCATCCGCCTACCTCGGCCTCCCAAAGTACTGGGATTACAGGAGTAAGCCACCGCGCCTGGCCTCCAGTTTTATCTTTAAAACAATGCTTAGAACAAGGCTTACCAGACGAGCTGTCTCTGCTCTCTCTTCATCAGCTCCTGCCTTAAAGATGTTAACAGGTGCAAGGGAAAGGGACGCCTGAAAAGGAAAACCAAGAGGCATTCCGTTTAAGTACCAATACTCTAACACATACACTGAGGTGCCTTCCACTAGTCTTACAAGTGGACATCTAAGAGAAAACTCATTTACAACAATGTTTTCAATCAAATGAAGCTTCCATCATCGGAGAAAGCATTTAAGTGGGAGAGAGGGACTTGTAGGAGAGCGACATGGCTTTTCGGATTTACAAGGCCCCCGGGAGTATAAATTATACACCAGCGAGATTGACAGTTACGTACAGCGAGACTAAAGACGATCTTGAACTAAGAATGAGGCAGGGAGGGGTTGCAGGCCATCAAGGTGACGCCTGCCGGGCGGGCGAGGGAACGCGGCCTCCATCTTCCACCCTCGGAAGGCTGCGGCCCCTCCACCCTCTGATGGCTCAGACCCCGTCGCTCCAGGCTCCGCCCCTAGAAGGAGGGCGGAGCGGGTCCCACACTAGAAATTTCTTCGCTCCGGGTGAGGCGCGGACCTGGGCTGCCGGGACTATGCAAAGACCTAGGCACAAGGAGACGCTGGCTTTGCGGTCCACCCCTCCCCCTCGTGGTGAGCTCCACCGGCTGGCCTGGCGCAGGCCGCACGCCCCGCGCATGGCTCGCACCATGTGCGGAGGGCCGGGGAGACAGAAACGGAGCCTACGACCCTAGCAGGACAGAGGAAGCAGTGGGGTGGCAAGAGCACGGCGGAGCAGGGGTAGGGCAAGAGGCAGGGGAGTCAGGCTCACCATGGTTCCGAGGAGTTCCGCACACAAGTGAATCCCCTCACAGCTCGTGCTCGGGACCAGCGGACTGAAGGAAGCCGGAAGTGACGCCACACGCCCTACTTCGGGGGGCGGGGCCCCGGCCTGTCGTTACCGCCAGCAGGCGTCCCATTTTGATTGGAGCCCCACGGGCCGGAAACGCAGCCTTTCACACTGGAGGGGGCGTGGCCGCCGCTCCAGAACAAAGAGGCGGCTGCCGCGCGGGTTGCCATAGAAATGGAGTTCTTGCTCACACTTTTTATTTTCTTAAATTTAATCTTTAAACACTTCTATTAAAGTCACACATGTACACAGTTTAAAGTGTTATATACCAATAAGGAAAAACATAATTTATCTGCCTCACCACTTCCTGTCTCCAGGAAAACTGCTTTCAACTTTTTCAGTTTTTTGGAGGGGCTATTTACTATCATATTCCCAGATAATATTATTGCTATGTTAATTTTAAACATTATTTACTGAGTATTACAGAAGAAGACTTCCTTTTCTCTTACTGAATTTTCAGACGTTATTTCTAACTGGACGTTGACTGCCCAGGATAAGGTCTTGTGAACTGAGAGAGACATTTATAGTATTTTATCTTTGCCCTATTTACTCATTTTCAGGAATTTTTGCATTTCGGTCTTTTTTTTTTTTTTCCTCCAATAGTAGAGACGACTTATTAGTCTTTGTTTATAATAAACTGAAATATTTGGGACTGATCTTGATGTCTGCCAAAACCTTGGCAGACATCAAGATCAGTCCCAAATATTTCAGTTTATTATAGACAGTTTTCTACTTTCTCTAAGTTGACGGATGTCTAAAAATTTGTTCTCTAAAAAATTTTTCTGTCATCTACTGATACCCTCTTTTCTCCCTTTGACTAACTGATCGCTTAAGCTCCTCGGCAGGGCGCGGTGGCTCACCCCTGTAATCCCAGCACTTTGGGAGGCCGAGGTGGGCGGATCACCTGAGGTCAGGAGTTGGAGACCAGCCTGGCCAACATGGTGAAACCCTGTCTCTACTGAAAATACAAAAATTAGCCGGGCGTGGTGTGCATGCCCGTAATCCCAGCTACTCAGGAGGCTGAGGCAGGATAATTGCTTGAACCCGGGAGGCAGAGGTTTCAGTGAGCCGAGATCACGCCGCTGCACTCCAGCCTGGGCAACAGAGCGAGACTCTGTCTCAAAACAAAAACAAAACAAAACAAGCTCCTGGATTTTTCTTTTTCTGTTTTGTTTTTTTTAGAGATGGGGTCTTCTATGTTGCCCAGGCTGGCCTGGAACTCCTGGGCTCAAGCAATCTTCCTGCCTTGGTCTCCTGAGTAGCTGGGGTCTCCTGGATTTTTGACATTGCTAACATTAACAGGAATTTTCAATTTTTTAGTTGTTTCTACCCTTCAGATTTCCTCTAAGTGGGTTGATTTCCACCAGGGGTTGGCAAGCTGTGAGGAGTCAAACCCAGCCTGCCAGTTGTTTTTTGTATGGCCTGAGAGCTAAGAATAGTTTTTACATTTTTAAGTGGTTGAAAGAAATCAAAAATTTCCTGACACATGAAAATCCTGTGAAATTAATATTTCAGTGTCCATAAAGCTTCATTGGAATCCATGGGCATACCCATACATATTTACTCTGTCACAATACGATAGCAGAGTTATGTGGCAGAGTTGAGTAGTCATGACAGGTTGAATGGGCCCACAAAACCTAAAACATGTATTATCTAATTCTTTACAGAAAAAGTTTGCTGACCCTGGTTTACAGTATTCCTCAGGTCCAACATGAAAAGGGGAGTTCAGGCTGGACAAATTGTTATTTTAAATCTCCCAAGAGTTTTCTCTTCTTTGTAGGAAAATTTGGTCTTCTTTCAGGAAATGTACTTTCCTAGGCAGATCCCAAATCGCATTCTGGAATGAGAAGATTCACAATAAAAAACTAAGATGCCTGCACAATATTGAAAAAGGTTGTTTTTATTGTGGGCAAAATTACATACCTGGAGATATTTATTATGTCCTCTGGTAGGCAAGCCTGAGACTGTGTGTGATGGGGAAACCAATGACTGCTCCCTGCTGGGCTTTGAATGTAGCCAGAGGCATTTGGATGGGGAGAAGGAGGCAGGCCCTGCCACCTTGTGGAACTGAGGCTAGAGGCAGCCAGGAAGAGACTCTATGATGGGACCCTTGGAAATGTGTCCTTTCTCCATTGCATCTTTTGACCCTTCCTTCTTTCCTACTTCCCCCTCCTTTGATGACACCTCTACACCTAGAGGCTAAACACTCAGCTTCTAGACCCAGACTATATGAGTTTGAATTTCAACCATTTTACGTACTAGCTTTGTAGTCTTGGGTGGGTTTCACAGGCTCTTTAAATCAGTTCATTGAAGGCCATTCAGAGCGTGATCAATGTGCTGGTTTACCAAAAACTGTCTCTTTTAGCTGTTTATACTTTTTTGTTGTTGTTGTTGTTGTTGAAACAGAGTTTCACTCTGTCGCTCGGGCTGGAGTGCAGTGGTATGATCTCAACTCACTGCAACCTCCGCCTCCCGGGTTCAAGCAATTCTCCTGCCTCAGCCTCCCAAATAGCTGGGACTACAGGCATGCACCACCACAGCTGGCTAATTTTTGTATTTTTAGTAGAGACAGGGTTTAACCATGTTGGCCAGGGTGGTCTCGAACTTCTGACCTCAAGCAATCTGCCCACCTCAGTCTCCCAAAGTGCTGGGATTACAGGCATGAGCCACCACACCTATATATATATTTTTTAATTGAGACAGGGTCTTACTCTGTCACCCAGGCAGGAGTGCAGTGGTGTGATCTCCACTCACTGCAACCTCTGCCTCCTGACTTCAAGCGATCCTCCGACCTGTCTCCCGAGTAGCTGGAAATACAGGCATGCGCCACCACACCAGCTAATTTTTTGTATTTTTGGTGGAGACGGGATTTTGCCATGTTTCTCAGGCTGGTCTTGAACTCCTGAATTCATGCGATCTGCCCACCTTGGCCTCCCAAAGTGCTGGAATTACAGGCAGAAGCCACTGTGCCCATCTATTTATACATTTTATCGTAATTTGTATTAGATAGGTTACAGGGCCTATGGAGATAGTGAGACCTTGGGAATCCATGTTTCTGTGATTAAACACGTTGTGTGACTTTCTCCTGGCTCATCTTCTGTCCTCTACTCTCAAGTCCCTTGGTCTTGGCTTCTCTTAGTTAACCCTTCCTCCTCCCTCAAAGTCTTTGTGACCCTCTCCTCTCTATGACCCTGTGTCCTCCTCTCTCTTCCCCTTGGTATAATTTGGCTTTCAGTGAATTGGCTTTTTGTTAACTGGTCAGCTTCCAGTTATATAATCTCTCTGTGCCTCAATTTCCCTTTGTGTAAAATGGAGATAATTATCACAGATTAAATAGCTTAGAACAGTGCCTGTTTAGCTTAGCTATTGTTATCATTATATCCCAAGTCTTCTAATAGGCTTTATAAATATAGTAGCCGAGGTTGGATATGCTTGGCATGTTATGGAAGTAGGAAAGCACTGTAGCATATCATTATTTGATGGCTAGAGGTGATTTGGGAGCAAGGGTAGATTCATTAACTGGAGTGAAATAACTGGCGAAGTGGCAAACAACCACCAGAACAGAGTTATGGGACTTGTCAACATTCCTCAGGAACAGTTAGAATACCTGGGGAAGGAAACCAAATAAAGGACCAGGAGTCCACAGTCACATTAAGTTGGGTCCACCCAGACACCTACTGTTTGGGTAGTAGGGAGAAGGTTAGAAGACTTGATATTTCTCCTGTTGCAGACCGTGATAGTTTGTACACAGGAATCAGTCTGTGGAGCACACTTAGAGGAGCACTTTAAAAAAAAAAAAAACAGGGTCTCATTATGTTGCCCAGGCTGGACCACAGTGGCAGGATCACAGTTCATTGCAGCCTCAACCTCCCAGGCTTAATCTATCCTCCTGCCTCAGTCTCTTGAGTAGCTGGGACTACAAGCACACACCACCACGCCAGTTGATTTTTGTATTTTTTCATAGAAACAGGTTTTCACCATGTTGCCCAGGCTGGTCTCAAACTTCTGGGCTGAAGTGATCCACCCTCCACAGCCTCCCAAAGTGCTGGGATTACGGGCATGAGCCACCATGCCCAGCCCCCAAATATATCTTAAATCTCAATGAA